>NC_000021.9:45161024-45314920 GCF_000001405.40 Homo sapiens | reverse complement strand
CCTCTCTGGTTTCCTTGAGCAGCAGTTTGTAGTTCTCCTTGAACAGGTCCTTCACTTCCCTTGTTAGCTGTATTCATAGTTATTTTGAACTCTATGCAAATAAACTGGAAAATCTAGAAGAAATGGATAAATTCCTGGGCACATACATCCTCCCAAGACTGAACCAAGAAGTTGAATCCCTGAATAGACCAATAACAAGTTCTAAAATTGAGGCAGTAATAAATGGCCTGCCAACCTAAAAAAGCCCAGGTCCAGATGGATTTACAGCTGAATTCTATCAGAAGTATGAAGACGAGCTGGTACCGTTTCTTCTGAAACTATTCCAAATAATTGAAAAGGAGAGACTCCTCCCTAACTCATTTTATGAGACCAGCATCATCCTGATAGCAAAACCTGGCAGAGACACAACAACAAAAAAGAAAACTTCAGGCCAATATCCCTGATGAACACCAATGTGAAAATCCTCTATAAAACACAGGCGAACCAAATCCAGCAGCACATCAAAAAGCTTATCCACCACGATCAAGTCAGCTTCATCCCTGGGATGCAAGGCTGGTTCAACATACACAAGTCAATAAACGTAATCCATCACATAAACAGAACCAATGACAAAAACCACATGATTATCTCAATAGATGCAGAAAGGGCCTTTCATAAAATTCAACACCCTTCGTGTTAAAAACTCTCAATAAACTAGGTATTAAAGGAACATACCTTGAAATAGTAAGAGCCATTTATGACAAACCCATGGGCAATATCATACTGAATGGGCAAAAGCTGGAAGCATTCCCATTGAAAACCAGCACAAGACAGGGATGCCCTCTCTCACCACTCTTTCCCAACATAGTGTTGGAAGTTCTGACTCCAGGGCAATCAGGCGAGAAAAAGAAATAAAGGGTTTCAAATAGGAAGAGAGGAAGTCAAATTGTCTTTGTTTGCAGATGACATGATCCTGTATGTAGAAAACCCTATCGTCTCAGCCCAAAAGCTTCTTAAGCTGATAAACAACTTTAGCAAAGTCTCAGGACACAAAATCAACGTGCAGAAATCACAAGCATTCCTATACACCAACAACAGATAAGCAGAAACCCAAATCATGAGTGAACTCCCATCCTCTGATATCTTATAGTTTCCCTTCCTGTTTAGGCTTTTACTGTCTGTGAAACATGTTTTTGGGAATGAAGTGAGGAATGGGAGGAATGGCTATTTATTACTACCTCAATTTCAGAACTTGTTATTGGTCTATTCAGGATTCAACTTCTTCTTGGTTCAGTCTTGCGAGGGTCTGACTTCACATGTACTGGGGAGTCCATCGCATACCCCTCATTTGAGAAACCGCCCTTATCACGAATGGGACTCCCACAGTTGCGTGGAACTTTTCCTGCCCTCTCAACTCCACTCCGCTGGTTTATTTCTCTATTCCTGCTTCATTTACTCTCGCTTTCTTATGCATGTCTATTAACGCAGCTTGTCCTTCTTAGTTTTTTTTTAAATAGACTTTATTTTTTAGGGAAGGTTTAGGTTCACAGTAAAATCGAGCAGGCGGTACAGAGTTCCCATGCACCCTCTGCCCCACCACAAACATGCAGCCTCCCTCACCATCAACACCCACACCGGAGCGGCCCATTTATTACAAGCCATGAGCCTGCGTGGCCACATTGTCAGCACCCAAAGACCCTGGTCCACACGAGGGCTCGCTCTTGGTGCTCTTCATGCCGTGGGTTTGGACAGATGTGCAATGGCATGGATCCACCACTGCAGTCCCACACAGAGCGGTTCTGCGCCCTGAAGATCCCCTGGGCTCTGCCTGTCTGTCCCTCCTTCCTGAGCGCTGGCGACCACGATATTGCCTTTTCCAGAGTGTCACATGGTTAGAATCACACCGTCTGTAGACTTCTCTGCATGGCTTCTTTCACGTAGTAATACATAGTCAAGGCTCCTGCATGTTTTCTCCTGGCTGCTTGACAGCACATTTCTTTCTAGCACTGCATCATATTCCACTGTCTGGGTGTGCCACGGTCCACCTACCCCTTTCACCTACTGAAGGACATCTTGGTTGCTTCCAAGTTCTGGCAATTATGAATAAAGCTTCTATAAACATCTGCATGGAGGTGATTGTATGGAAATAAATGTTCACTTCCTTTGGGTAAATGCCAATAAATGTAATTGCTAGAATGTATAGTAAGAACACATTTAGTTTTGTAAGAAACTGCAAACTGGCTTCCAAAGTAGCTGTGCTGTTCTGCATTCCCACCAGTGATGAGTGAATGCCAAACTTTGCTCCACACCCTCACCAGCATTCAGTGGTCAGTGTTCTGGAATCTGACTTCCTAACAGGTGTGTGGTGGCATCTCATTGTTGTTTTAGGTGCATTTCTTACAATCTTTACATGTGCTTCTTTGCCATCTGTGCATCTTCTCCAATGAAGTGTCTGTTCAGGTCTTTTGCCCATTTTTTAATCGGGTTGTTTGTTTTCTTACTGTTGAGTTTTAAGAGTTCTTTATATATTTTGGATAACAGTCCTTTATCAGATGTGTATTTTGCAAACACTTTCTTTCAGTTTGTGGCTCATCTTCCCATTCTTTTGACTTTGTCTTTTGCAGGGCAGAGGGTTTTAATTTTAATGAGGTCCAGCTTATCACTGATATTTTTTCATGGATCAGCCTTTGATGTTGTACTTTAAAAACATCACCAAATCCTAAGTCATCTAGATTTTCTCTTGCGATACCTTCTAGGAGTTTTATAGTTTTGCATTTGACATTTAGGTCTGTGATAAATTGTGAGTTAATTTTTATGAAGGTTTTATGGTTTGTGTCTAGATTCATTTGTTTTTTCTGCATGTGGATGTCCAGTTGTTCCAGCACCATTTGTTGAAAAGGCTATCTTTAGTCCATTGCACTGCCTGTGCTCCGGGGTTGAAGACCAAGTGAAGATATCTGTGTGCATCTGTGTGCACAGTGCTCTCCAGAGAAGCAGAGCCAAGAGGATTGGTGGATGGATGGATGGATGGATGAATGGATGGATGGATGGATGGATGGATGGATGGGTTCATGTGTTCGTGCTGTCACTGGGCCCGGAACATCCTCCCCACACACCTCCACCTGTGGACATGCTGTGTGTGTGTGTGTGTGTGTGTGTGTGTGTGTGTACACATGTGTACACGTTTTCCTGGGCCACTCTGGTGTGGGTGTTGATGGTGAGGGAGGCTGCATGTTTGTGGTGGAGCAGAGGGTGCATGGGAACTCTGTACTGCCTGCTTGATTTTACTGTGAACCTAAACCTTCCCTAAAAAGTAAAGTCTATTTTAAAAAGCGAAGAAGGACAAGCTGCGTTAATGGACATGCCTAAGAAAACTAGAGTAAATGAAGCAGGAATAGCGAAATAAGTCAACGGAGCAGAGATGAGAGGGCAGGAAAACACGCACATGCATGTTTATATGTGTGTGGTTACATGAGAGAAAGAGAGAAGTTTATTCTGAGGAGTTGGCTCACATGATTTTGGAAGCTGAAAAGCCTCACGATCTGCCATCTGCAAGCCAGAGACCTAGGAGAGCCGGTGTTGTGGTTCCAGTTTGAGTTGAAGGCCTGCACATGAGTGGGGCTGTGGGTTCAAGTCCCAGCTGGAGGACAGGAGAAGGTGCCACCTCTCAAGCAGTCAGGCAGAGAGATAATTCTCCCTTCCTCTACCTTTTTGTTTGTTTGTTTTGAGATGAAGTTTTGCTCTTGTCGCCCAGGCTGGAGTGCAATGGCGTGATCTCTGCTCACTACAACCTCCACCTCCCAAGTTCCAGCGATTCTCCTGCTTTAGCCTCCCAAGTAGCTGGGATTACAGGCACCTGCCACCATGTCTGGCTAACTTTTGTATTTTTAGTAGAGATGGGGTTTCACCATGTTGGTCAGGCTGGTCTCGAACACCTGACCTCAGGTGATCCGCCCGCCTCAGCCTCCCAAACTGCTGGGATTACAGGCATGAGCCACTGCTCTGTGATGGGCTGGTGGGCAAAGGCCTATCTCGCATCTTCAGGAGACTCTAAGCCTCTAAGGGTGCCTCTGAAGCCCTGGAGGAGCCTTCTCAGAGCCATCTGAGGCTTCCTAAGTCCAAGGGCCAGGGAGCTGACTCATCCCTGCTCCCTGGGAGGAGAGGCAGGTGCCAGGGGGCCAACCAACGGTGACAAGCCTCCCACAACCTCTGCCAGGTGGCGGGTCTGTCTCCCGGAACTGCAAGCCTCTGCCTCCAGAGCAGACCGGGCAGCTGGTGGACACGGACTTACCTGGGCTGACCTGGGCTGAAAGTCATCTTGGGACAGCAGAAGCGGATGAGTTTGTCTAGGCTTCCGCCCTTCTGCAGGCTCTGGGACAGGCCAGGGTGCCCAGCCATGCATCAGGGTCTATGGGTCTGCTACGGAGCAGCCCGGTTCTCCGATGTCCTCACCTGGCTTCTGGGGATTTGGTCCTTAGGGTGGCACCTAGGAAGCAGAGGCCGGGCTGAGCTCGGGCACCGCCATCCTAGAGCTGCCCCCACCTGCCCAGCTCCCCCAGAACACCCTCCCCACCCACCTCCACCTGTGGACATGCTGAGTGTGTGGGGGCTTGTATGTGTGTATATGTGTGTGCACATGTGTGGGCACATGACTGCATATGCATGTTTTGCATGTGTGTACACGTGTGGATGTGTGTGCACATGGCTGTGTGTGCATGTGTGACTGCAAGTGTGTGCACCCGTGTATGGATGTGTGTGGATGTGTGTTCATGTGTATGGATGTGTGTATGGATGTGTGTGTGCACATGGCTGTGTATGCATGTGTAATTGCATGAGTGTGCATGTGTGTGTAAGCATGTGCATGTGCACATACGTGTTCCCAGAGTGTCTCCATTACCCAGGATGGTGCCTGGAAGGGTGTGCAGTCCCATCTCTAGCCAGGGCCACCCCTTGCAGTCCAGGCCTAAGGCCAGCGTCGCTCACAGGCCCTGCCCCTTTCGTCGACAGTATCTGGGGATCCCGGGCTCTCCAGGGCGGGCAGGCTGCCTTGGGGATGAGAAGCGGCTGGTTTCCCGGGGGCAGCCCTTTGACCTTAGTTGGGTCACTGCCCCCTTCTGGGATTCCGTCTCCTCTCCCATTTAAGGACAAATAGGTCTTTCCCATGTGAGATGCGGTGCCTGGCCAGGGCAGGGATGCAGATATTGACCCTAACTTTGTTCAGAGGCTGGGCTTCCCCGGCCCTGAGCCAAGAGGAAGCCCCGTCCAGAAGCCAGGAAGCAGCAGCAGGGCCAGCCCTGGCACTGCCCAGGTCTCCCCACCTCGGCTCTGCTCAGCGCTGGCCTGGAGAAAACAGAACGGCAGCTGTCGGGGCTGGTCCACGAAGTGTTGTTGTTTTGTTTTTAATTTTCTGATCAGGGTAGAGAGAACTAAAAGTTCAGGAAAAAACAGGTATTTTTGGAAATGGTAAAAGCCGTGACTCATCACTGGTAACTCATCTTCCTACAGATAAGTCAGACGAGCTTTTCTCTGAGCAGCTGGAATGTCCCCTAGTCCTCAGTTTTGTGAAATTTGAATAAAATACGCTCCTTTGGGTCAAGGTGAGAGTCTGCATGTGTCCTGGGGCTGTGGTAACAAAGTGTCATGAGCTTGGTGCTTTCAGCATCAGAAATGTGCTCTCCAGGTCCGAGGCCGGAGTCTGAAAGGAAAGTGTCACGGGGCCACCTCCCTCCAGGGGGCGCCAGGGGCTGCCAGGCGGATCCTTCCTGCCTCCTCCAGCTCTGGGAAGCCCCGGAGTCCCTTGGCTGGATTGCGCCCTGTTCTCTTCTCTCTCCTAAGGACCCTTGAGATGTCATCTAGGTCCCCCCTCCAATAGACCAGACCCTCTCCTTGCCTCAAGAGCCTGACCTCACCTCACCCACAAGACTCCCTCTTAGACAGGGTCCCATCCACAGGCTCCAGGGGTCAAACACGATGTAGGGGCGGCTAAGCTGGAGGAGGGCCAAGGCTGCTGGGGGGCACCAGTGCCGTGGACTTCAGGAAAAGGGTCCCTTGCGGGAAGAGGGGATCAGCCGCCACCCTGCCCACGGTGCCACAGGACCCTTTCTGCCCCCCAGCGGCACGAGACAGCAGGCAGGCAGCAGTTGTCTGCAGATGGCAGCCTGGGCTCAGGAAGAACAGAGCGCCAGGCCCAGCCCAGCCTGCCAGGCACTGCCCCAGGTACTCTGGCCCCGCCGGAGGCCCCAGCCTACAACTGAACTTCGGCTCCACATTTCAGACCCACGATTTTGCAATCTCCTCCAGTGTTTATCAGAGGCTCTCCCCACTGCCCCAGCACACTGTAAACTCCCAGGGCCCACCCGGCTCTCAACTGTGGTTTTGAGGGCAGTTTCAACAATGCTCCCAGTGCGGGTTTGTGGCCAGGCAGTTCACGGAGCTCCCACCGGCTGCCATTCCTCACACACCAGGACATTCCCTCCTGCTGTGCCCAAATGCATCTTGGGTCCCACTGTGCGAGGACGAGAGTAGGGCACGGGCAGCCCGTGAGTGGGGCAGGTGAGAGATAGACCCTGAAGTCCCACTGCCCAGCAAGCCCCTGCTGTCATGAGGCCGCAGCTCTGCTGGGGCTGGCCGGCTGGGCTGTGGGCGTGAACATGTGAGTAAATGTCCTTAGGGAATGGGTTGCGTGTCTTCACTGTTCCACACAGAGCATTTCGTCTTTTTGTGCATTTCTACGTGTGCATTCCTGGTGTGTATTTGCACATCTGCCATCTGTGTGTGTTCTGGAGTGTGTCTGTACACGTATGTTCCTGGTGTATTGTTCATGCATATTCCTGGAGTGTGTCTGTGTATGTGTGTTCCCGGTGTGTATTTGCACATGCATGCATATTCCTGGAGTGTGTCTGTGCACGTGTTACTGGTGTGTATTTGCACAAGTATGCATATTCCTGGAGTGTGTCTGTGCACGTGTGTTCCCGGTGTGTATTTGCACAAGTATGCATATTCCTGGAGTGTGTCTGTGCACGTGTGTTCCCGCTGTGTATTTGCACATGCATGCATATTCCTGGAGTGTGTCTGTGCACGTGTGTTCCCGCTGTGTATTTGCACAAGTATGCATATTCCTGGAGTGTGTCTGTGCACGTGTGTTTCTGGTGTGTATTTGCACATGCGTGCATATTCCTGGAGTGTGTCTGTGCACGTGTGTTCCTGGTGTGTATTTGCACAAGTATGCATATTCCTGGAGTGTGTCTGTGCACGTGTGTTCCTGGTGTGTATTTGCACATGCGTTCATGTTCCTGGAGCATGTCTGTGCACGTGTGTCCCTGATGTGTATTTGCACGTGCACGCATGTGTGTGCTTGTGCACCCCGGCTCCGTCTTCCTCTCGTCCTCTCTGCCCGCCGCCCTCCTGGGCCAGACTCTCCTGTTCTGAGTGGAAGGCAACGAAGGCCTGGGTTGCACAGGCCCGTCTGGGGTCACAGGCATGTCAGGGCCGCCTGCTCCTAAACCTCCTGCACTGAGATGGGAATGGGAGGGGAGGCTGGCGAGGGCTCCTTCGGTTCAGACGCCTCCTCCCAAATGAACGGCAAATGTCAAATGCAGCCCTAAGGAAAATAGTTCCCACACCTAATCATGTCCGGGAGAGGTCGGTGGGGGGGCGCCGGGAGCACATGCTGGGTGGGAACAAGGGCCCTTTGTGTGCCATGGGCAGCTGTGGCCGCAGCAGCGAAGCTAAGTGGACCGGCTGTCTGGCCGCCTGGCTGCCCGGAGACAAGCGCTCTCCTTGTTGCGTCAGCGCCCGAGCCCAGCCCCTGCCTGGGCTGCGGGGGAGTCTGGGACACTGGCTGCAGGGAGGGGCACGTTCTCACTCGTGGAACATTCTCAGGCCAAGACAGTCACAAATGGGGTCACTTCTGATGGTGCTCAGCTGCCGCAGCGGCGAGCCATGAATCGCCCACGCTAGCTTTGGCTGGGGCAGAGTCCTAGGGCCTGAGTGAGAGATGAAGCAGGAGGGACAGTGGACCAGCCAGGCTCCCTGCGAGGTCCTCCCCATGTCACCTGAGGATGGGGCAGCAAGGGTGGCCTGAGGTACCCTGCAGCCTCTGTAGGCACCCCTTCCTCTGTTGCCTGGCCTGAGCACAGCTGCCCTAGGACCAGCAGAGCCTGCACCTCACCGCTCCCTCCCGCAGAGGGTGCGGCAGAGCGAGGGCCCCCCTTCCACCAGAGACTCCACCCTCATTTCAGAGAAAGCTGAATTCAGAAAGACCCACTCCTTCCCACGCAGGCAGGGAGGGTGCCCGGTGGGGGTCTGGGCTCCATGGAGGAGGTATTGGAGCAGGACAGCGGGCAGCTTTAGGGGACGCAGCCTCTAGGCCGGTCTGAGCCCCAAGGGTCAGAAGACCGGTTACGCACAGGAGACCGAGCACGTGAGCACATGCAGGGAGGCCGGCGGGGCTGACGGGAGGTGCGATGTAGAGAGGACGGCAGCCACAGCGGCGCACACGGTATTAGATTCACCTCGGTAGCACCGGAATGCAGGGTTCCCAATACAAATAGGTAGAAGAATCTGCAGATGAAATGTGTGTGTGCGTGCGTCTGCAAAGTAAGAAAATGCCAGGAAACATGGATGGAAAAGACACAGATGCCAGCCTGAAGGGTCCCCCGCTGAGACAAACTTAACAACAAAATAAACTGAAGAAGGACAGGAACAGATGATGGCCCATGCATAAAATGAGACTCTGTGGTTCTATATAGATGTCAATATACTTAATTAATAAATGGGGGAAAAAGAAAGCTCACCCACCCCGGTAGAATTCCAGTTGATAAGTGACCGCATGAGGAATTCCCCCCAGCAGCCGTTGCTGTCACAATTAATTCAGGCAACAAGAACATCAGTCAGTGCCAAACCTGGTGGTGAACGTGGAGTGAAGAATGGGGTTTTACATCACCTCTGAGTGTCCCCACGAAATGTGCATGAATGACAGAGAAGGAAGGAATTTCCAGTGGAGACCCCTGCAGACGCCACGTTCCCCAGATGGTCAAGGTCAATGCCCCCTGGAGTGGACACATCGGTACGCCCACCTCCCAACCCAGATGAACCAGCTCCCTCCACCGACAACCTGCGTCTAACCATGAAATAAACCGAAACTGACAGTATTTCTCTTTTCCACAGAGTCAAGGTCTTAGAAGTCAAGGAAAGACTGAGGACTGTTCCAGGTTGAGGATGAGCATGAAGTCTTATAATCCCTGTAATCCCAGCACTTTGGGAGGCCGAGGTGGACAGATCACTTGAGGTCAGGAGTTCGACACCAGCCTGGCCAACCAACATGGTGAAACCACGTCTCTACTACAAATACAAAAATTAGCCAGATGTGGTGGCACATGTCTGTAGTACCAGTTACTCGAGAGGCTGAGGCAGGAGAATCACTTGAACCTGGGAGGCGGAGCTTGCAGTGAGCTGAGATCGCACCACTGCACTCCAGCCTGGGCGACAGAGTGAGATTCCTTCTCAAAAAAAAAAAAAAAGAAAGAAAGAAAAAAGGCATTATTGGGACAGTTGGTAAAACC
Organism: Homo sapiens; assembly: GCF_000001405.40. Classification (NCBI taxonomy): domain Eukaryota; kingdom Metazoa; phylum Chordata; class Mammalia; order Primates; family Hominidae; genus Homo; species Homo sapiens. Next base: position 45,305,378 of record NC_000021.9, on the reverse strand, counting down.
TGAATAGGTCTCTAGGTGAAGAATACGTACTCTTTGTACTATTCTTGCAACTTTTTGGTGTATTTGAAATTGTTTTGAAATAAAAAGTAAAATTAAAAGCGAGAAGCACCCTGTGTGGCTGGCACCCTGGCTGCTCGCATCTGCAGGAAGCATGGTGGGGCTGGGCGGTCCCAGGCTGCCGTGGCCCCTTTGTGCTGCTGTAAGAAGGTACCTGTGACTGGGTGACTCATAAGGAGCAGAAATGTACTGCTCACAGCTCTGGAGTCTGGGAAGTCTGAAACCAGGGCCCCGGCAGGTTTGGTGTTTGGCGAGGACTGCTCTCTGCTTCCAAGGTGGTCCCCTTGTTACTGTGTCCTCTCATAGCAGAAGGCAGGAGGGCAAAAGGGGCCTGGCCAGTCAGACAGCCCTTTCGTAAGGCTCTAATCCTACCCTTGACGGTGGAACCCTCACGGCCTAACCCTCCCGAAGGCCTCACCTCTGAACACTGTTGCGCTGGGGATTAAGTTTCAACATGGATTTCGGAGGAACACAGACATTGAAACCACAGCAGTGCCATCGCTCCCAGGCTGAGACCCCACCTTGGCTCTCTGCCCCTAGCATCTCCTCCCTGGCCCCTGGAGAGACACAGGAGAAGGAGAGAAGGGCTATTCTGTAGGAATCACAAGGCCGAGTGGACTCTCACCTGAGGGAGGGCACCTGCAGCTTGGCTGGCCCCAGGGATCTGTGGGCACGGAGCATGTGGCTGGGTGCCTATCACCTTCTTCCCCACTTTACCCTGGGCATCCAGCCCCTGGACCATGACTGCCAGGCACGGAGCAGGTGTGGAGGAGTGTCAGCATGATGAAATTCACCCACACCACGGCTGCCACAGATGGACAGCCTCACGGAGAGGTGTGGCCAGGGGAGCAGCGGAGGGGCCTGTGGGGTCAGGTGGTCCAGAGGAGAGCCTTCTGGCAGGGGGGCTTGTGAGAGCGTTCCAAGAAGGTGGGCAAGCTCAGCCAGGAGGGTGGAAGGGTGACACGGTCCAGGCCAGAGGATGGCAGCCACAGTGGGAGGGAAGGTGAGAGGCCCTGTGGTCTGGCTGGAACTGAACAGATGACACCAGCAGGGGTAAACATGGTGGGAAGGTGTGGGCCCAAGCCGGTCCTTGGAGCTCAGAGAGCGTCTGGCTTTGGTCTGGGCTATGTTTGGTGTGATGGCTGGGGGAGTTGCTGAGGTGGGAACGCCCTTGAGGGCTCTACCTTGAAGGGTGGGATTATGCCTCAGGAAAGGGCTGTCCGAGGGTCCGTGTTTACAGGGAGATGGTTGATGTGGGAGGCAGTTCTGGCTGAACTCACAGTGCCCAAGGGCTGACCAATAACGAGCCGAGCCCAGCCCAGTGTGGCCCAAACCTTGCGGTCAGATTAGTCTGCTCGGCAGCTGGGACGGAGGACCATGAACGGGGGCTTGGCGTCCCACATCGATTCTCCCACAGTCCTGCAGGGTGGGGCCCACTGTCCAGGTGCTGCGGGGCCAGGGCCTCCGGGACCCCCCTGGCTGGCAGTCAATGGCTCCTCCCACCCTCCCAGGGCCCCTCTGTGCGCTCTGGGTCCTCATCTCCTTCTTGGGAGTCAGACTGGACAGGGCCACCCCAGTGACTCCCTTTTACTGTAATCACCTCCTTAAAGGCCCCACCTCCAAATCCAGTCCCACTCTGAGGTCCTGGGAGTTGAGGATCCAGTATATGGATTTTGGGGGCCCCACTCAGCCCTGACACTGCGCTGGACAGAGCATGCCTCAAATTCCAAGGGTGATGAATTCGCTGTGACCACACTTCTGTCGTTAAACATCATTCATAACCAGGTGCTGACATTTGCTGCACAGGTGCCGCCCACAGCCCCTCGCTGCCCTGGGTCCAGCTGATGCTCAGCTCCATGGTCCGGCCGCTGCTGGTGGCGGTGTTGGCCCAAGGGTGATGCTCTCCTCCCTCTGCCGGGAACACCCCTGGCAAGGACGCTGCCCACCCATCCCCGCACATGGAAAGGAGGTGAGGCAGCTGCGGCATCTTCACAGAACACGTCCCCCCGACACGCACCAAGACATGGCTCGAGGCCCGGGCCTCCCACACACCCATGGGCTTCCAGCACGTCCTTCCCACGTCAGACACCAGACAGAGCCGGTGCAGGTGGCTTCCAGGTGGCATGTCCCTTCGGATGGGCTCTGCCGTCCCTGTCATGTGCACCAGCTGCTGCATCCACCCTTAGTGCCAGCTCTGGGGGCCTAAGCAGGAGCTCAGGGACATGGAGACCGTGGAGAGGAGGCATTCACTGTGGGGTGTCCCAAGGCTGGGCACCAAGGCAGGACCTCCGTGTGCCCCGAATGCCGGCTTCCCTGGAGACTGCAGCCAGCGGGGATCTCTCACATCAGCCTCCCAAGACCACCGTGAGGGGGGCGCTTAGGAGCAGAAACACCCAGGCCGAGCAGGATGAGCAGGTGAAGCTGCCCAACGCAGGGGACGGGACGCAGAGGCGATTCACGAGCCTGGGGCTCCAGCAGCAGCCAGGCGGATCCCGCCACACCTTTCGCTCTCAGCTACCAGTCTGCCTGCCACCATCACCTTCCCGCGTGTGAGTGGGGCCCTGGTTCCCCAAGCAGCCGCTGACTCCCGGACGCCTGCTGGCCAGGCCCCGGTCATGAGTGCATCCGGGGAAGGCTTCGGGCCTACAGGAACGGAAGGAAAAGCCATCCAGCCTCCCTGACCCTCCACACGGAAGCTGAGGGGTTCCCCATACACCGGCTGCCGGGGACTGCCTCGACTCTGGTTTTGGCAGAGACAGGCCCTGCTGTGTCCGTCATCTCTGATGGAAGTGACAGCCATTTCCCCTGCAGACAGGCCAGAGCGGCCTATCCACGCTCCACGGTGTGAGGCCAGTGGTGGCGTCCCCAGGGCCACAGCCCAGCGAGGGTGAGGTGGGGGAGCGTCCTGGCTGAGGGCTGGGCCGCCTCCCGCGTGCTCTGGGGAACAATGCTTCCGCACCACCCCCGCCCCTTCCTGGCTTCTGTGAAACTGAACATCTCCAAGTAAATATTTTCACTGCTAAGCACAGGCAGCACTTCGAGGCTTCGTGACGAAGACGTGGAAACCGCAACCCGGACCTCGCCGTCAGAGCCGGGCCTGCATTTCCCAGTCAGCACGTGTGTCCCTTCTCCTCAGCAACCGCCAGCCCTGGGACAAGCCCCACACCACCCTGGTTACCCTCAGCTGCGAGATGGGAGGTGCCGGGCACAGCCAGGACTGCATCTGGTCCGTGCTGCAGGGATGCAGCCCCGCATGGGGCCGGGGCTTAGATCAGCCTCTTGTTGGGTTGAGCGGGGAGGCGCACACCTGCCCCAGACTGCAGCTCAAAAGAGGCAGAGGCGAGGGTCAAGCGTTCCATACCCCGAGGTCCCCGGGGGCCCCGTCAGAAAAGGTGGGGGTCTCAGGGAGCTTTGGGTTTTGCTCTGCCTCCTGGGCCTGACCCTGGCCAGAGCTGAACCTTCGAGAAGCCAGGAAAAGTCGGTACCAATTCCTGGACTAGACTCCCTGCCGAGCCTGCCCCTGAGTGCCCTGTGGCCTGGGTGTGGGAACCCAGAGGGAGACTGTGCTGGTGTCACCGGGGGCCTTCTGGCGGTCAGGATGGCTCACAGGGAGGCACTGGGGGGCTGTGGCCAACCTGTGGGACCCGTCCACCCCCAGGGCTGCTGTGAGGCCTAAACGTGGCAGGGGCTCCCCGATGTGAGTCCTACAACGCTCAGTGTCGGATGGGGGGCAGGACCCACAGGCCCCTCTCAATGCAACCTACAGAGGCCCCTGCAGGTGACCTCGAGGGAGGCCACAGAGAGCAGGACCCACGTGGGGGAAGAGAGCACCTGCCCCACAAAAGACAAATCAAGTTGCTGCCAAGGAGCCGGCGAGTTTGGGGCGGATGAAGTCACAGGATCACCCACAGCGAAAACAGGGAGGCGGCCACATGCCCCCCACCTGGGGAGCCTCAGGGGCGGCCGGGGCCACGGGGGTGGCACGAGGCGGGTGACACCGGGCAGCAGGCGGGGGCGGCGCTCCGGGAAGCAGGGTCCGACTGGAGACGTGGGGATCTCGGGGCGGTTTCGGGTTTTACTCTGCTTTGCCTGTGGCTGAGCAGTGCTGAAGGGTGGTGTTGAGCTAACGGGATGCTGAGGCGGAGGAGGATGGAGGATGAGGGAGGAGCAAGTCCTGGGGGAGGCAGCAGGGGAAGAGCAGAGGCCCCCGGAGGGGAGTGGACAGCTGCGGGTGTGGGGGGCTTCTGGGACAGGTGAGGGTGTAGGGCGGCCCTCTGACCCGAGAGCCACCCGAGAGGCCCGAGCGACGGTCCTGGCGTCTTCACCTCCTGCAGGCGGCGCCCAGGACTCACTGGAAGTCAGGAGCTGCCTGAGACCCCGCAGGGGCACCCACTGCGTGCCTTGGGGTGGGACGTTCTGGGTAGGGGGGCTCCGAAAAAGAGCCACAGAAGGGGATGAACCGCATGAGGGTCTGAAGGACGGGCTACGTGGGGCCGAGATCCTCAGCAGAGACAGTTCCCAGGCTCGTCCCCCTCCCCCAGCGCTGTGCAGCGCCTGCCGGTGTTCAAAGCCATTTCCTGACTTTCTCATGGTCTGGGATTCCCAGTTTCATGAGATTAAGATAGAAAGTTGTGGTTTGCAAAAAATTGTGCAGTTAGAGGATGAACATTCCATCGATGGGAGTCTCAAGTGGTCTGAAGGGAAGGCCAGCTGTGGGAAACCTCTCCCAAACGACTGTCACTGTGCAGAGGGGCGGGGCCCCAGGGAACCCGGGGTATGGAATGCTTGACCCTCACCTCTCACCTCTCACCTCTGCAGGTCCTGGGCGCAGACTTCACCTTCTGGACCTTCTCCTATCCGGAAAGTATGTGGCTCACACGGTGGTGCAAGGAGCCTTGGGCTGGGCAGCTGCTGGCCTGGATCCGAGTCCTGCCCTGGTGAAAGTGCTGATTACTTTACATACTTCTACATCTGCAGAACCAGGTGATTGATCCTCAAAGCCCAGCCAGCTCCAGCAAGCTCTGGTACCTGCAACCACGGGCCGCCCTGTGCCCGGCCCACCTTCCTCGAACCGTGTTCCGCTCACCTGTGGCGCGGCCGCCCCCGGAGCAGCGCGTGCCGTGTGCCGAGGACAGAGGCAGACCCGGACAGAGATAGATGTGGAGGGGTAGCCAGTATCAGGGGCACCCCCGCTTGTGCTCACTGCCCCACCCGCCTGCTTTTGCCGCTAACGTCCAGACATTCTTCTCTTAACCCCAAAGCCCCTGGGGTTCAGTTCCTGCTGTTGCAGCCCAAGGGCTCCACCAAGAGCTGGGGGCAGTGTCCACCTCCTGGGGGTCTCGAGGGGCTCCATAAGAGCCCCTTGTCCTGAGCCCCCACCCAGGCTGCGCACTGGCAGCTGTTCAGTCCCGGCTGGCTTTAATTGTTGTCGTTTAATATTCAATATTGACATAAACTCTATTTTGGTTGTGAAACCACTCAGCATTCCATGTCCTTATTCCTGGATTTTGATTCTAAGCCCCTTTAGGAAATGTCTGCCCCGAAGTGACCGTCTCGTCTGGAAGGTTCCCACAGAGCAGGGTATGATGACAGCCCAACGGGCTTCCTCCCAGTGCAGACACCGCCCCAGCGGCTCCGGCAGGAGCACGTTATCATCCGCAGAGGACAGACGCCGAAACGTGCAGGGGCCTGTAAGCCTGCGCAGTGTCACACACACTCAGCCCCAGCGAGGGGCACGCACACATTACCGTGTTTGAGATGACAGTTTTACAGTGTGTTGATTGTTGATGTCCCCTACTTTTCTGGATTTTCCTCCAGTTTTGTTTTTTGTGGGTTTTTTTTTTGAGATAGGGTCTTGCTCTGTCATCCAGGCTGGACACTATCTCAAACAAGCAAGCAAACAAAAAAAAATTAAAAGTGCAGCCCTCACCTCCTCGGCTCAAGCCATCCTCCCACTTCAGCCTCCTGAGTAGCTGGGACTACAGTTGTCTGCCACCACCCCTGGCTAATTAAAAAAAATTTTTTTTGTAAAGACGGGGTCTTGCCATCCTGCCCAGGCTGGTCTCGAACTCCTGGGCTCAAGCAATCCTCCCGCCTTCGCCTCCCAAAGTGCTTGGCTTACAGGCATAAGCCACCACGCCCAGCCATTCCCCAATTTTGAATTGGTATTAGTAGCTTTAATTCTGTTCTGTTTCTCTTACAATAAGCACCTTTCTCAACACATTTCCATCCATTGACAAAATAGGGAGAAAGGGGCATTTCCAGTGATTTAGATGGGTTACTTTAAAAAACATCTGTGTCATCTCTTTAAACTGTTCAGGAACTTCGTGTTGACAGTGTTTTCCTCTGTGCCATCAGACACATTCTCTACTGGTTTATAGAAATCAAGTTAAGAGCCATCTCTGGAATCAAGGTAACCTGGGTAAATGTTGAGACCTGAAGGGATTTGGTGATAGCAACTCTCCTTTCAAATTCTGCAGGAGGAGTGGATGTTAATCTGAGATGGCCACAGAGCTGAGGGTTCCTACAGGGAACGGTAACATGAGGTGTGTTTGTGGACTGGCCCCTGCTTCCCAGTCTCCACCCAGAAGACCTCGGGGAAGACACAGGCAGACACTAGGTTTTTTCAATTATAAAACCACCATGTTCTGGCTTATACTGACACATTTTAAAAGCCAGGTTAAACAGATGATTTTCTTAGAAAATATAAAGTATGGCTGGGCACAGTAGCTCATGCCTGTAATCTCTGCACTTCGGGAGGCCGAGGCAGGTGGATCACTTGAGGTCAGGAGTTCAAGACCAGCCTGGCCAACATGGTAAAACCCCATCTCTACTAAAAATACAAAAATTAGCCGGGTGTGGTGGCACACACCTGTAATCCCAGCTACTCAGAAGGCTGAGGCAGGAGAATTGCTTGAGCCTGAGAGGCAGAGGTTGCAATAAGCAGAGATCACTCCAGCCTGGGCAACAGAGCGAGACTCTATCTCAAAAAATAGTGTAACATTTAAAAACAACAAAAATGAAAATATAAAGTATAACATTGACTCAAGTAGAAATAGAAAATCTGATTAGCCCTATGGGACATGGGCAGGAAACAGAAAAAAAAAAAAGTAGTCAAATGATATCCTTTAAAAAAGCACCAAGCTCAGGCAGTTTTTTACAGGAATATGCAGGACTGATCTCTGCAACAGAGAGACAGAATGACCGTTTAGGAACCTGTCCTCTGAAGGCCAACGGCTCAGTTCAAATTCCATCTTCGCCCCCATGGCTGGTGACCTTAGGCAGACTACTTAAACTCTCAGCCTCTTCATCTGTCAGATGGACACGAAAGCAATACCTAGTTCACAGGGATGACTTCCAGGTTAAGGACTTAACTCATGTAAAATATATAGAATTGTGTTTGTTGCAATAGGAAGAACTTGATACAGGTGAATTTTTACTAAGAATTACTATCATTTCCAGGCACAGACAAAGACAAAAGTATCACAATTCATTCTGTAATATATAGTTGTATGAGTCTATTCTCACATTGCTATAGAGAAATACCTGAGACTGGGTAATTTATAAGGAAAAGAGGTTAAATTGGCTCATGGTTCTGCAGGCTGTATGGGAACCTTCGGGGCGGCCTCAGGAAACCTTCAATCGTGGCAGAAGGTGAAAGGGGAGCTGGTGCGTCTTACATGGCCAGAGCAAAAGCAGGAGGGTCAGGGAGGTGCCACACACATTTAAACGACCAGATCTCGCGAGAACTCACTATTGCGAGAACAGTACCAAGAGGAAGGTACTAAACCATTCATGAGAAATTCACTCCCATGATCCAACCACCTCCCACCAGGCCACACCTCCAACACTGGGGATTACAATTCAACATCGGATTTGGGTGGGGACACAGATCCAAACCATATCAATAGTTAACCAAAAACCTGAGAAACTAATGGCAAGAATAACACACACACATCTACACACAATGATGCTGACATATTATTTATAATAGGGATGTAATTACCCAAAAATAAAAGTATTAACAAACAGAATCCAATCCACCAGGAGCAAGTAAAGTCTATCTCCGGAAAGCAAAGACGGTTCAACATTAGAGAATCTGTTAGTACAACTCACTACATGAAGAGACTAAAAAAGGGAAACTTTGGGCATCTCAAAAGATAGGCCCCTAACAAGCAACTGGTAAATTTAATATTTAGTCCTAATTTTAAAGCACACACAACCACAAGATATTCAGAAAGCTAAAAATAGTCAGAAACTTCCTTAACCTGTAACAAACATTGTATTTAATGCATGAGAACAGATATTAGCAAATTTTCCCGTAAAAGCTCAGATGGTGAATATTCTAGGTTTTTCGGGCAATACCGCCTCTGTCTGGACTATTTAACAGCATTGCTGTGGCGTGACAGTAGCCATCAGACAATATGTAGAAAAATGTGTGTAACTGTGTTCCAATAAAACTTTATTTACAAGAAGAGACCATTGGCTGGATTTGGCCCCCCGGCCACCAGTTTGGAAACCCCTGCATTAGAATCATTCGCATTAGTCAGAAACAAGAGAAAGACGCTTGAGTCCTGGCCAACATGATAATATACACAAAGTATAAATATTAGAAAGGCAGAGACACAACTATAATTATTTGCATAATTATATGACTGTTTACCTAAAAAGTTCAAAATAATGAACGGACAAACTATTACAAGTGACCAAGTGTAACATCAATATACATCAATCAACAGTGTTTACTAAAACAGCAATACAGAATTACAACATTTTATGGGAAAGTGTCCCATTCATTATAACAAAAACTTTGTGGATTTCATAAAAATCCACAAAATACTCAAGAACAAACCAAGAAATGAGCACATCGGACATCAAAGAAATCTTAAAAATTTTGCCAAAGCTCTAAATTCGTTGAGAGCTGGAATCCATTTTCAAGTAGTAGGACTCTAAGTCACATGAATGTCAATTTTCCAAACTGTCCCCATAAACTCCGTGCATCCCTTAAAACTCCCGCAGGACTGCTGTGGGTCTTGACACTGCTTCTAAACTTGACATGGGAGAGGAAACGTGTAGGACCCGCTGAGGAATGCTTCTGAACGGCCTCGGGGAGGGAGCCTGCTGTAAAGCTGTCACAGTTAATGCCAGTGCTACTGTGCAGAAAGAGAACTCAGCCCGTGAGTCAGGACTGAGACAGCAGAGACAGCAAGTATTTACGGGAATTTTATTTACGATGATGGTAGCATTTCATGTCAGTCGGTGGAGAAAAGATTCCTTTTTCAATAAATGATGTGACAACTGGCTACGTATTTGAAAAAGAAAACGTTAGACCCGTATCTCACACAACCCCAAACAAAATTCCCGCGGATTAAAGGGCTAACCACCTGTGATGGAGTGAATGCTGATGTGTCCCCCCAAAATTCCTGTGTTGAAGCCTCACCCCCAGTGACACGGTATCAGGAGAGGGAGCCTTCGTTACGTTAGCCAGGAATCCCACCCTCACCAGGAACCTGACCATGCTACACGGTGATCCAAGACTCCCAACCTCCAGAACCGTGGGAAGTAAGTTTCTGCTGTTTAAGCCCCACAGTCTATGTTATTTTGTTCTCAGCCCCGGCTGACGAGAACGCCATTAGAACATCAGAAGCCACAGCCATAGAAGGACAGACGAGACGCTGAAGTTTGTTTTAACCGTCTTGCCATAAGAAATACCCTATAAGTCACATCTGAGACTCAGGCGTCCTAAGAAAGGGGGGTGTGGACACTGCCCCCAGCACCTCTTGTGGCCGGGCTGGGTGACAGGCACACAGGAACTCATGGCACTCGTCTCATAACCATTGTTCACATTAAACGTGCACCAAAATTTACAACAGAACACCATCGACAAAGCTAAAAGGCAGGCAATGGATGGAAGAAACCATTTCCAAACTACCAACATGGTGTCCCAACAGGAAAAGACTAACTACTGGGCAAAAGATGCGGTTAAACAAGTCACAGAAGAACCCACAGGTACCGCTCCTGCAGAAGCTGGCGACTCTGCCGACACCGTCAGCATGACGCAGAGGGGTCTCCTCCCCACACCCACAGCTCCGCGCATCCTCCCCTGTGGGCCCGAGGTGGGCGTGTACTGATTCATCCCCACCTCTGTCTGCTCCTGAGAGCAGCGCCCTTCACATCTGCGTCCTAGGCCCCACTAAACGCAGGACACGGAGGCCCTCGCAAACTTCTCGAATGAATGAACGAATGAAGGTCGTTTTCAAGACCTCTGGCCCTTCCCCTCTTAGAATCTCTAAATCTCACACTTGCACTTGCTCTGGAGGGGATGAAACAGACACTGCCAGGGCCCGGAGGTTTACGATGTTTATGCTGAGGCCCAGGGAGCTATGCGGGCTCAGGATCCATGTGGATTTGTTACCCTGAACTCAGCGGTCAGGGCCTGCTGGTGAATCAGCAAAACCTCCGGCTGTGCTTCATTCCAGGGAGGAAACCCAGCAGCCCCGTCCCCGTCTGCATTTCCGCTGACGCTATCACTGGAGAGGGAGACGAGGAGTCCTTGAAACCAGCCCTCCGAACATAAATAAGCAGCCGGGTTCAGTGAAGCACATGACGCAGGCTTCACCTCTGCCAGCGTTTCCATCCCAGAAAGTCCTGCGGGACAGATTCTCACAGTCCCCAGTGAGCCCCATCCATGACCCCTGCTCGCCCCCCACGTTTCCCAGATGACGGCAGCTGGAGAGCCTTCCTCCGACAGCGGCCCCAGGCCACGGAGAGGCGGCCCCGCAGAGAGCGGATGTTTGTGAAGCTCCTCTTGGAGGGAAAGCTGCCCCCAACGCTGAACACTCCCGTCTCAAGGCACAGACAGGGGAGCGGTCACAAGCCGGCCAGTCCCTTTTACAGCCAAAATCGGGGGCTCAGAACATTCTTTAATGATTTCCGAGCCACCGAGTGCACTGGGCGGCCCCGTCTCTGTTTTCATTCCCTGAGATGTGGTGCTTTCTCTCCTGGAGCCCCGTGTTGGGGACGCTTCAACCGCAGGCCTTGCCTCCCTCCCACAGTGCTGAGGAAGGACAGGCCCTCCCTTCCCCAGGAAAGGCCAGGCTGGAGGAGCCCAGGTGTGGGGGGAAGTTCTGAGCTGGCATTGTCACCCCCGGGTCTAGTATCCCCACAGAGTGGACCCTGGCCCTGAGCCCAGGCTGTGCCTCCCCTATGTGCAGCCGCTGGGATGTGTCCAGGGCAGCACAGGAGGCAGGTGCCCAGGTACTCCCCTAGGCAGAAGCCTCGGGTTCTGTTCCAGGGCAGGTGGGCTGGCGTGGCCCTCGGGAGCACAGAGCCCTGACTGTAGCCCCCCAGATCCCCACAGGCACCGGCCAGTCTCACCCAGGAGGGCAGGCCCTGCTGTGCTGCAGGCCCCCCGGGGCGCTGGTCCCCTCCCCCATGCTGACCACACGTGGCTTCCTTGGGATCAGCGCACCCCCAGGAAACCCTGGGCGCCTTCACGACTTGGTCACTTGGTGACCTGGGACCCTCGGGCGCCTGCTCCGTGCACAGAGCTGGCCAGGCTGTCCGTAGGGAAGTGTTGACTGGGGGCCCCAAGGCTCCTGCTAAGAAATCCTTCTGAGCACGGCCTCTGGCTCTGGAGAACCAGAACTCCCTGCCCTGCCACTGACTCACAAAGTTGTCCCCTCCCTGTGCACTTCCAGGCACAAAAGCCAGGATTTGATTACTGGGGAACCGCAACGTGCAGGGGTGGAACTCCGCAATGAGTCCAGAAACTCCAAACACGTGAACCTGGTAACTCACCTTGCAAACGGAGGAGCAGGCCTGCACAGGGTCCCTGGCGTTCGCTCTCTCGTCTCCTAGAAGAGTCCTCCTTGGGTCCTGAGCTCAGCGGTCCTCGGCCAGTCCACTCTCTGTCCTTCTTGCTGGCCAGCCCCCTTCCGCGAAGGGACAGCTCCCTCGTCTCCATGGCAGGGTGGTCTCGGGGGACAGTGGCAACATCCCCAACTGCCTTTCTCTGCTCTTCACTGCCGACCCTGCTCCCAGGGCCGCCCCCACGGGGCCAGGAGGCTCCGAGGTGGTGACAGGTAGATGCTCCAGCTGTGCTGAGAACTGCCCAGCCTCTCCCCATCTGCACGTCTCTCAGGAGAGGACCCACATCCGGTCCCCACACATCTACCCACTGTGGGTGTTCTGGCTGGGGTGCCTGTGACCCACAACTACCTCCGGCCCAGGGCTCACTCAGGGGGCTGGCGGCCTGGAGTGCCCAGACCTGACCCTGCTGAGTTCTGTGGGGACGGACGACACTCAGGGCCCAGCAGGGGTAGAAGGATGGGCTCTAACAGGTGTGGCCCCAGGACCACAAGCTGCACCTGCTGCGTCTGAGCCCAAACAGGGCCTCCTTCCCCTCAGGTGAGGTTTTGCAGGGAGCTGGGCGGGGCACAGAAGAGCTGGGAGCAGGTCAGCAGTTGAAGAGTGGCTCCGGGAGGGGCCGCAGAGGCCCAGGGCCTGCTCTCAGGGGTCGCTGGGGACAGGAGAGGCTCCGACAGGGGCCGCCCAGTGTGCTCTTCTCTCATGTGCTGGGGCCTCTCTCTTCATTCCCTGCTGGAAACATCCATGCTGTGCTTGGCGGGGCTGCGTTTCCCCGTGGCACAGAGCTCCCAGGAAGGGCTCTCCTGCCCTCTCGTGGCGGCCTCGGGGCAGTGGCCTGTGGGGGCCGCCAGCCCCTCCTTCGCTGTGTGAGCCGCTGGTCACAGAAGACTGCGGTGCAGGGAAAGGGGCCACTTCCTGATACTCAGGGACAGATTTTCTTCTCTTGAGGAAAGCCTCATAAGACCTCTTCCGGGTCATTCCTGATTAGGACTTTAATCCAGGGGTCAACAAAAGACTCCCCAACCTGAAGGAGGCTGCCCAGGCAGGGAGAAGAAAGGTCAGAGCCCACGGAGAGGCAGAGGGGCGCCAGCCTGGAGTGCCCCCTGCTGCGGCGCCCGGCACGTGGCTCGCCTGCTCTCCCGCCTCTGTCACCTGGGAAGAAACGGTGGGCAGGGGGAGCAGGGGGAGCGCGCCCGGGGCCTGAAGCAAGGCCGGGCCTTCGCCATGGACAAGTGACTTGGGCCTGCTGGAGACAGGGCATGGACCGTGGCCTCTAGGTGAGCACAGTACTGCCCGTAGGACCCGGGTCTGTGGACCCCGGCTGTGAAGGCCACTGAGCCCAGCAGAGCTCCACCCTGAGTCCTCACAATAGAGCCAGTGGGGTCAGGGAGGCCTGGCCCTGAGCGGCCCAGAGGCAGAGGCGTGGCCTGCTCGGTTCCGCTGTGGCCTTGGCTGTTCTATGGATTTCTGCTTCGGGGTGACCTGTGGCCCCTTCATGAAGAGGGTCGGCTTCTGCTTGGGCGGTCACCTCCCCATCCATTAACCATTGACATCTGCAAGAAGTATCTGTTCACAGAAACAGCAGCGGCCCTGTGTTTGGAGGCGGTGGCCTGGGCGTGGCTGCAGTGCTGTGGGTCCCCGATGGGGGGCGAGGGCTGCAGTGCTGTGGGACCCCGGAGGGGGGCGAGGGCTGCAGTGTTGTGGGTCCCTAGAGGGGGGGTGAGGGCTGCAGTGCCATGGGTCCCCGGTGGGGGGTGGGGGGCTGCATAGGGAAACCCATCTCAAGGGGCTCTGTGCCCACAGGGCCCAGGCAAACCCCTTGGCCTGTCCGTGGGAGTGTCAGGGTCCCCAAGGCTGCACGAGGTCACAGCACCTGTCCAGGAGGACTCATGGGAGTGTAAGAAGTTATGTTCAGCCAGGTGGTGCCATTTCTCCCAGGTAAAGACGAACGGCTGGATCATACAGCAGGTGTGTCCCCAGCTTCTGGCTTTCCGTGCCCTGACCACTCTGCAGCCCGGCCAGTTGCAGGTTTTCCCTGCAGGCCTGAACTCAAGCTGGGCCTTGAGCATTCCCAGGCACTGATAAAGGTGTTTAGGTCATTGCCCAAAACCCTGAAACAAAGCAGCCCTGGTCCAAATTCCTTAAACTCTCATATCAACTCGCTGCAGACAGACCTGGGTGGAATCCCCATCTTGCCGTCTGTCCCAAAGATACACTATCTGTCCTATCTGTCCTGAGGATACACTGCAGCCCTCCTTATGCCAGATCCCCTAGGAAGTGCTCTGGACGGATCACCCTGGCAACGAGTGCCTCTCCCTGGAATCCCAACCAGCCCCATCTCGGGATGGTTTGAGGCACTCCCTGGTGGAAACTCCCGTCACTGTTTTTGGAAAGACTCCAGCTGTGGGTTTGGCCAGGATGGAGCACAAACTGTGAAATGATTTCCAAAGGGTGCAGCTCCCATCGACCGTGTATGTGGGTTCCCGCCATTCCACTCACCCACCAATACTTGGTGTCCATGTTTTTGACTATTCCAGTGGTGATAACGGCATCCCCAATGAGATGTTCACGTTCACTTCCCTTTCTGTCCATCGGCCATACGGGTTCCCTTCCTGTCCATTGGCCATTCGGGTTCCTTTGTGTGTCAGGCTGGCTACCATCTTTATGTCAAATTACTGGATTTTAAAATATCTTCATATATTCTAGATACAGCCCTCTGTCAGATCCATTATTCTGAGTATTTTCCCCATCGATGGCTTGCCTTTTCATTTTAAGTGTCTTTCAAAGACCAGAAACGCTTATTTTTTGGTGAAGTTCAACTTATCTCTTATTTTTTCTTTTAAAGCTCCTGCTTTTGTGTCCGACTGAGGTCTCCTTTTTTTTTTTTTTCCCCCAAGCGTTTGTCCATCATGTGGCATTTCTGGGAGCTCGGGACTCCACTCTGACAGAGGAGAGAGGCCATTTCTTTTACTGTCTCCTGTCTCTGAAGAGAAGGATGAAGTAAAAGTTGAAAAACAACAGGAATGAAGTCAGCAGCAAGACCAGCCGGTGCCACCGATGACCAGGCCTGAGGTTAAAAGATTACCCCCCCTCCCACTCTAACCACATGTGATCTCAATCTATCACGACCCTTTCACGTGGACCCCTTAGAGGTGTAAGCCCTTAAAAGGGCCAGGAACTCTGTTTTCGGGGAGCTCGGTTCTTGAGACGCGAGTCTGCCGAAGCTCCCGGCCGAATAAAGCCAAATCCTTCCTTAACCTGGTGTCTGAGGGGTTTTGTCCGCAGCTCGTCCTGCTACATGACCTGCCTGTCTATCCTCTTACCCACGGCAACCTGCCTTGATTCCTGCAGCTTTAAAATAACCCTATCAGGGTTACAGTATTTTAATTTCTGCTTCACATAGTGTAAATCAAAAATAAAACTCTAAGCTTCCCCAACCCACTGAATGGATCCCTCATCTCCACCAGGGGGATTCTGAAGAACCTGAAAAATGAGCTCAGGCCAGGAAGGGACGGGGATTGGACATGGCTCATTATACCCACCTCCCTTTGGAGTTCAGGTGCAGCTGACCAGACTGACAGCAGACTCCATAGCAGCAAGACACCAAGTTCCAATCTGACGCTGGTATAGCATCACGTGACAACAGGCCCTCAAAGTATCAATGTATTTTACCCCAAAATATATCTCTTTGACAAATTTTGAAATGGCCCCGCAAAGCGGTGTCTTGTGGGGAAATTCATATTCTGTAGACTCCCCTTCCCTTTCCAGCTCTTTTTCTGATCCTGAGGAGACTGGCTGAGAGTCTAGTGCCTTTTGAAGGTCTGAATAGGAAACATTTGCCATGTATTGCCTCTGAGGGCGGACACCTATGAGATTTCATCCACATAATAAGGACCTCGGTCTCCACAGCCCCTTCTCTTAACCCAGACACTCCTTTCTATTGATTCCAAGCCTTCAGATAGTAACTTCTTTCAACCAACTGCCAATCAGAAACATCTTTGAATCCACCTATTACCTGGAGGCCTTTCCACTTGGAGTCGTCCTGACTTTCTGGATCAATCCAATGCACACCTCACATGTACTGACTGATGTCTTATGTCTCCCTGAAATGAATAAAACCAAGCAGTAAAACAACCGCCTTGGGCCAAGTTCTCAGGACGTCCTGAGGCTGTGTCATGGGTCATATTTGGCTCAGAATAAATCTCTTCAAGTATTTTACAAAGTTTGGCTTTTTTTGTAAACAATAGGCAGATATAAATTCCATTTGCTAATTTTTTTAAATGCTGTGTCTTGGTTCATGAAAGACATTGGTCTGTGGTTCTACTGTCTGGTGATGTCTGACTTTGCTATCAAGGCAATGCTGGCCCATACATCGAGCAGGGAAGTGCCCCTCCTCGTCCATCGTCTGAGTGGCTGGATTCCTATTATTTCTTCTCTAAGTAGGATTCACCAGCTTGGCCCTCTGGGCCTGGAATTTTCTGTGTGAGAAAATTTGATAACAAATTGATCTCAAATTTAACAGATAATAAGCATTAGTATTTTCTTTTTTGGTAACTGGCATCCTTCAAGAAATTCGTCCAATTATACCGTTTTGGGGGCTGCCTGCACTAGAGTCAGCGTGGCGTCCCCTCAGAAGGCCGGGTTTGCCAGCGCCGCGCCCCAAGCCAGGTCGGTCGGCCAGTGCTGGTGCCCTCGGGGAACAGCGGGAGCTGCCTGGAGGCTGCGGGGAGCGGCGGCGGCGGGCACGCACCTGGCTCCCGAAACCAGACCTTTAATAACGCCTCGCAGAAGGGGCGGGGTGGGAGGTTGGCAGCGCAGGGGCGGCAGCCCCGGATCCCCCCAGGTCTCCAGATCACCCCATCGAGCCCCGCGCCCTAGCAGCACAGTCCCTCCAGGGCTCCTTGGAGGGCCAGGCCTCAGCCCGGGTGCCCCCTCGCCGGGGCTCCAGGGTTGGGGGCACCCAGGAGGCCGCAGGTGTGGAGCTCGACGGCGCCCCCCGACTAGAAACCCAGGCTCTCATGCGCGGCTCCCGCCCCGACCCCAGCTCCAGAGGGGCGAGAGCACCCGGCGCCGACCCCGTCTACGGACCCCCTCCTCCGCCCCGCCCCCGCCGTCCAGCCCTCCCGCCCCTACCAGCCCCGGGCCTCCTCCCCACGGACCCGCCCCGCGCCACCAGCCGTCAGCCCTCCCGGCCCCCAGTCTCGCGTACCCTCCCCACTGGCCTGCAGGGTCCACCGACTTCCCGACCCCGGGACCTCCCGACCCCCGGACCTCCCGGCCTCGCGGACCCTCAGGAGCCCCTGCGTGGGCTGCGCCAGGGCGCCCGCGACAGCACCGCCGCGAACCACAGCCACGGCCTCCGGGTCTGCAATGGAACCTCTAGCCGCTGCGGTCAGGAGGGCGGAGACTCTGCGCACGCGCAGTTCCCCCTCCCGCCCCTGCTTGCCGGTGATGGCGCATAACGCATGCGCGGGGAGGGCGGAGCTGGGCGTTGCCGTGGCTACTGGGAACGCATTTCACGGGGGCGGGGCGTGGTTCCGGGGCGGGGCGCGGCCGCCGGAAGTGCGTGGCCGCCCGGGGCCATGGCGACACTCAGCTTCGTCTTCCTGCTGCTGGGGGCAGTGTCCTGGCCTCCGGCTTCTGCCTCCGGCCAGGAGTTCTGGCCCGGACAATCGGCGGCCGATATTCTGTCGGGGGCGGCTTCCCGCAGACGGTAAACGCGCGTCCACGGTGCCAACGCTGGGGTTCCAGGACCGGGCAGGGTCAGAGGATGGGATGGGGGCGGGGCGGGGTCAGGGGCCAGGGAGATGGGATGGGGTCAGGGGCAGGCCCACGGGATGGAGGGTGGTCCGGGGCCAGGGAGATGGAATGGAGCGGAGTTATGGGGCAGGGGCCAGGGGGATGGGATGGAGCGGGGTCAGGGGGCAGGGGTCAGGGGAATGGGATGGGGTCAGGGTTCTGGGGCAAGGAATGTGGCGGAGTAAGGGGCCAGGGTGATGGTATAGGGGCAGGGGGCAGGGGCCAGGAGGGATGGGATGGGGGCGGGGCAGGGATCAGGGCGATGGGATGGGATGGGGGCGGGGCAGGGGCCAGGGTGATGGGATGGGATGGGGGCGGGGCAGGGGCTAGGGCCAGGAGGGGTGGGATGGGATGGGGGCAGGAACGGGGGCCCGAGGGATGGGATGGGGGCGGGGCGGGAGCCGGGGCCAAGAAGGATGGGACGGGGACGGGACAGGGGCAGGGGCAGGGGCAGGGGCCGGGGCCGGGCTGGAGTCTGGGGGATGGGATGGGGCGGGGGCTGGGGGCAGGGTCGGGCCAGCGGGTTGGCTGTAGTCGAGGCTGCGTCACTGCGGCCCGGGTCTGCAGGCGGGGTCGTCTGCGAGGCCCGGGGCGCAGCCTCGGGAGCCCAGGAAGGGGGCCGGGTTGCTCAGGCTGAGCGTGGGCTGGCTCCGGAGGCCCCTGCAAGTGACACGGGTCCAGGCCTGGGTGTGCGGAGCCGGGAGTCAGTGCCGGGCGGGCGCTCCGCAGTGAATTCTCAGGGCCAAGACGAGCTTCGCGGCCGCCCTGTGGCTGTGGGATCTCCAAGCGGACCCCGGGAGGGGCCTGGACGCAGAGGTGTGCACGGCCCCTCGTGGCGTTCGCAGGCCTGGGCGCTGCACGCAGCTTCACTCGCGACGATGGGAGTATGGAAAACCAGCGCAGAGCAGGGAAAGGAGAGCGCCAGGGACAGGGTTTCTGTAGCCCTTGGGGACTTGTCTGTGCCTTGGGGACTTGTCTGTGCCTTGGGGCGCTTTGTGTCCTTCCTCTAGGGCAGTGATCTTAAAGTGTGTCCTGGATCTCTGAGCTTTTGTAGCCGTTTTAATAGTAGTACCAGAGTATTATACGCCTTTTTCACTTCTCATGAATGCACTGTGGAGTTTTCCTAGAAACCACTTGATCTGTGATGTCACAACAGATTGAATGCAGAAACGGGTATGGGAATCCAGCTGTCACCAAACCCAAAAGAGATTTGCAAAAATTAAGAACATCATCACAGTTCTTCTAATTCATTTTTTAAAATACACTTATTTTTTATTTAAATATGTGGTTTTTGTTAACATGTAATGGCTTCTTATTTTTAGCTGAATTAAATACTTGTAGCTTTAACGTCTAACATAGGACGTATCAATAGACATAGTGCACATAACCAGCCGTCAGTCATTGTTTCCAGTGTAAAGGGGTCTTTAAACCAAACAGTTTGAGAACCATGTGGGTACTGATTCTTGGGTTCCAGTCACTGGGATTCCTCTGCCTTAGTGTTGAACTATTGCTAATTGTTAAAACGATGTTAGCATGTCTGCTGCTTCTGCTTACAGGCTCCGTAAGTAACTGGTCATAGAGAAACAGGCCACTCACTGCCTTCACAAACTAGGAACCATTGTTAAGTGCCTAGAGTCGGGCCACGCGCTGAGACTTGTGAGCAGTCGGGTTTTCCGTGCAGAAACCTCAGCATTTGAGACCTGTGGTCCTCCTTCTCCCTGCTCAGGTATCTTCTGTATGACGTCAACCCCCCGGAAGGCTTCAACCTGCGCAGGGATGTCTATATCCGAATCGCCTCTCTCCTGAAGACTCTGCTGAAGACGGAGGAGTGGGTGCTTGTCCTGCCTCCATGGGGCCGCCTCTATCACTGGCAGAGTCCTGACATCCACCAGGTCCGGATTCCCTGGTCTGAGTTTTTTGATCTTCCAAGTCTCAATAAAAACATCCCCGTCATCGAGTATGAGCAGTTCATCGCAGGTGAGGCCGAGCGGCACGCTGGGAGGCCGTGGTTGCTTAACTGGGGCCAGGCAGTCATTTCTAAGGTAGACATCAGGTTGGGCTTACGATTGCATCCAGCCTCACCAGCATCCTCCAGTGCCCAGTGCTGCTGCCTGAGGCCTGTGGCAGCACCTCCTCCGTTCAGGAGCACAGTCCCTTTCCCACGCTGCAGTGAGCTTCCCAAAATGTTTCTCGGAAATGGACCTGAAGTGGATGAGCTTTGTGCCCCCTCAGTTAGAGCCGCCCTTACACCCTAAGAAAGCGGCCACCCCTGGGTGTTATAGTGACAGGACTCGGCTCCCTGTGCGAAAGGCTGTTTTACGTTCAGGAAGACGCACTGCGTGTGGAGTATGCTTCGTGGTGTCTCAGTGCAGCGCCAGGGATAAAGGTCTGTCTCGTTTAATTTTGTGTTGCTTAATCTTTTCAGTTAATTTTAAGAGAAGAATTAAAGCTCTTCTTAGAATGAAGGTATTTAGAGCTTTTTGTGTTGCGTTGTTTGGAAGAGATAAAGGTAAGTGATGCTTTGCTGCTGCACTTGAGAGGCCTTGAAGACGAATGAGTTAGTTTTGAGTCAGGCTCCTGCTTTCCAGCATCTGTTGAGTTCTTACTCGACAGCCACTCTCGGGGCTTAGAGACCTTTGCTCCCTGCCAAGGAGTGTGGCTCCCGTGTCATCATTTTTCAAGGATGTGGTTCTCGTTGCACCCTAGATCTTGTCACTCTGAAATGTTTTCTGTGTCAAGGTCAGTCTTGTGAGTGCTAGGGGCATGCAACAACAGGCGGTAACCTCCAACATCCTTGTTGATACCAAGTCAGAAAGTCTGCTGCTTGTAAAAAGCATTCCTGGAGTGCGTCCTTTCCTGAGTTGACTTTAAAATTTGCTTGTGAGTCCTGGAAGATGAAAGCTGTGGTTGGGTATTGGGTCTAACTAGCAGCCAGCCCTCGGTCTGAACATTGGGTTATAGGAACCCAGAGATGCTATCCTTACCTCCCTTTGGTACCAGTGGGTTTCCTGACAGGGAAGCGGACAGGTCTGGGCCTTGGGCATCCAAGTGCTTGGGAAGGTCTGGGAAGACAGATGCTGTGTAATGAGCTTCTGAGGCACATATGCTGGTCTCACGCTTACCTGCCATCCACCAGCCTGGGGCTTTGCTGAGCTGTTTCCTCGCCTGTGAGGTGGGGAAGGAACTGGGTGCCTGTCCTAGGGCGAGGCTGCCAAGAGACTGCACACGGTGAGCTCCTGATGTGGCTGACATAGCGCCCAGCGTGCAGGATCTTCACCACCTCCCACTAGCCTAAAAGAAGCCCCCGCAGCTGTGGCCTCAGGCCCTTAGGCCACGCAGCCCTTAGCCCCCAGTCATGAGTGAGCAAAAAGGATACCAGAACTTCACCTTCGCGATGCTCCCTCCCGCTTTGTTCCTGCCCCAGAACTTCACCTGCGCGATGCTCCCTCCCGCTTTGTTCCTGCCCCAGAATTTCACCTGCGCGGTGCTCCCTCCCGCTTTGTTCCTGCCCCAGAACTTCACCTGCGCGGTGCTCCCTCCCGCTTTATTCCTGCTGCCTTTGAGCAGATCTTAATTGCTGACCTCTTGGGCGTCACAGTGCCACCTTCTTGGTGCGGGTCGGGCCGTGGGTAAGAGGCACGACTCCTGCTCACCTGAGCCTCTGTCCCCGGGGGAGGCAGGACACCAGTGCAGTAGATGGTGGCCGAGGGGGTGAGGAGCGCTGTGGGAAACCAGGGGGGTAGGGGACAGTGGCCTCACAGAGGGCCGGAGGGCGAGCCCCCAAGGGGAGTGGTCCTGGCAGGGAACAGCCTGGACCACGGCGTGAGGGCCGGATGGGCTCACACGGGCCCCTGTGAGGATGGGGCCTGCTGCAGCCAGGCAGGGGTAGGGCCGGGGAATCGGGTACCAGCTCCACACCACCCCCCGCCAGCTGCAGTTGCACGCTGATGGCCCTGTGCCCTCATGGCATGTGCTCTGCCCTGTCTCTGCTTTTGTGAGCCTCCTACACTCCCTTTGGGAATAGGGTGGTGTACAGTAGTAAGAGTCAGCTGCTGGTGACTGATGCATGCCCGTAAGTGAGCTTCTGATCGCTGTCACACTGCCTGGCTTTTCTTGGTGTCTTTCAGAATCTGGTGGGCCCTTTATTGACCAGGTTTACGTCCTGCAAAGTTACGCAGAGGGGTGGAAAGAAGGGACCTGGGAAGAGAAGGTGGACGAGCGGCCGTGTATTGATCAGCTCCTGTACTCCCAGGACAAGCACGAGTACTACAGGTGCCTGCTGAGGCTGCTCCCCCTGCCGCAGGTGCCCCCCCACCTCCCCCTGCCGCATGCGTCCCCCCCCCCCCGCCTCAGGCGCCCCCCGCCCACTCCTCCCCACCACCGTGGGTGCCCCCCGCCCCCCCTGCAGCACCCCGCCTCCCCCCGCCACGGTGTCTTCACCCCCCACTCCCCCCGGCCGCAACCGCCTCCCCCGCAGTGCCCTCGCTGCCCATGCTGGTTGCTGATGCAGGGTTCTGGGCGTCCCCTCCTGGGCATCCTGACAGTGTTGCGGCGGCCCTTGTGGTGGTAGCGCTTGTGGCTGCCCACACCGTTCCTCGTCCTTGACAGGCGGTTCCCCTTTGTGCTGAGGCCTGGAGAATGGGCCGTGATGAACATCTGGCTGAGACCCCGTGCCTCTTTCCCTGTGTCTTTTCATGCATTTGGATGTTGCCACAGGGATGGAGGTCTTGTCAGTCCCAAGTGTCGATTGCCATTAAAGGCTCTGACACTACCAGGCCTCCTGTGGAAAAGCTGTCAGTTAACAGCCTCCATGTGTCCAGTGCCAGGGCAGCTGGCTCTAAAGCATGGCAGGTGAGCTCTTGGGAAGGGCGCGGTTGACTTGGCTGACGGTCACAGCCAGGCTGGCCCTGAAGGTGCACAGGGCTGCCTCTGTCCGGCTCCCTCTGCCTCCCCGGCCATCCCGCCAGCCCCTATCATGGGGAAAGCCTCAGTGGTCCATCAGCCTGAGAGACACTCATGGGCTTCTTTTAAAATTTTACTAGAATGTCACGATCTGCAGTCACGATCAGTAAGTTTTCCTAAAGCAGCCGCGTTTCATCAGGAGCAAGCCACAGTGTGTGCGTGTCTAGACTTGATTTGTTTTCCTTGTGAAAGCAAAATAAACTGATAGAGCTGCTGTGGGTTTTGTTTTCCAGAGGATGGTTTTGGGGTTATGAGGAGACCAGGGGTCTAAACGTCTCCTGTCTGTCCGTCCAGGGCTCAGCCTCCATCGTGGCGCCCCTGCTGCTGAGAAACACATCAGCCCGGTGAGTGCCCCAGGCCCCCCGGGAGCAGCCTGGAGGCTGTGGCGTCTGCTCCGTGCATGCTGGGCTGGGGGCTCTCCGCCCATACTCCCGCATCCCTGGCCCACCCACCTCACAGACAGCGGACCCTGGGGGCCCTGGGGGGTGGTGGTTAGGGAAGTGCTTGCATGTGTCTCTGCGAAACAGCCCAGTGGGTGCAGTGGGTGACGTGGACAGCGGGTGAGGGGCACAGAGGTGAGGGCTCGGCCCGGCCAGGTGCACAGGGAGGGGCTGAGCTGGGCTGGGGGCGGCGGGGAGCTCACCATGAGACTGTTCTCGATTTGTAGCACTTGGGCAGCTTTTACCAGTACCTCCCCCCTCCCCACACCCAACACCCACTGTTTGATCTGTTTTCTGCCTCACGGGTCTGGGGAGGATCATGCAGCCACCTTTGGCCATGCGTCTGCCTCAAGTGGTCGCCGGCCTGGTGAGCTGGGCCTCGAGGGTCCACCCAGGAGGCTGGGGTTGCAGACAAGTCAGTACCTGATGATGTCGTAAACTCTGGAGGGAATTGTTGATGGCCACGTTCTTAGAACTTGCTGCAGACTGGGACCCTCTCCGTCACCTCCCTTGGGTCTTCTGAATCCCCCAGCAGGCACTGTGAGCGTCTCCCATAGACCAGGCATAGCAGGGCACGGGTGCCCCTCGCACTTGCCCACGTTGAGGCTGCCTTGTCTGCTGTCGTGCCCTGTGTGTGCCTCTAGAGGCCATCAGCCACGATCCTGTTGCACATCACAGCTGGCTCGGTATCACCCTGGTCAGTAACAGCTGCCGCTGGCCCCAGCGGGCCGGGACCACATGGTCTCAGCTGCTCTGGGCCTTTGTGAAGGCAGGTGGCTCCATCACAGGCCCGCGTGTCTGCTGCTCAGCCAGCCCGGCTGTTGCAGACAGAACTCAGAGGTTGTGGAGGGAGCTAGGCTGAATTGTTTTGGTTGTTGAGATGCAGCTTTAATGTTGTCCTGGGACTGGGTTCATTTCATGACAATATTCGGGTTTTGGAAGCCAGTCTGCCTACGTTTGGGGCCTGTGGAACAGTCTTGCCAGTCAGTTTTTTTGACTCACATTTACAGGTTAGAATGGAGCTGAGCCCAGAGGGGGCTTCCAACTAGATGGTCCTGATTTAGGAGAAACGCTTCTGCCGGGGAGCAGGGGGAAAAGGCGCAGTGGAAAAGGAGGCTGATGATGGGCGGTGAGGTCATCTGCCCCCAGCACCCAGGGAAAGTCTCTTCCGGGGGTTAAAGCCCTAATGGGAAGGTGAAGCTATCAAGCCGTCAGGAGAGGAGCCTCACCACCGTGGGGCAGAAAGCTTTCTTCAACAAGATGGGAAAAGCATGGACCAAAAAAGAAAGATTGGTAAAGCCAGTTACTTTAAAATCAAGAACTTTTGTCCATTAGAAAAATGGAGACAGGCCTCAGAGAGGGAGGTCCTGCAGCACATTTGATAAACTAAGGACTCTCTGGGATACAGGAGACGAAACTCAGCGAGTGAGGGACGGGCAGCCTGGGGTGAGGCGAGTCCAAGACGGGATCCGTGCAATTGAGACGAAACCCAGCGAGTGAGGGACAGGCAGCCTGGGGTGAGGCGAGTCCAAGACGGGATCCGTGCAATTGAGACGAAACTCAGCGAGTGAGGGACGGGCAGCCTGGGGTGAGGTGAGTCCAACACAGGATCCATGCGATTCAGGAGTAAGGACAGCTGCTGTTAATGCGAGCAGGTGCCCCCATTGCTGTCATGCTCGGGAAACCAACCGCTGTCGGGAGGACAGGCCTGCAGGGGCTCAAAGGCTGCTCCTGGAGCAAGAATCTGGTAAAACCCTGGGAACCCAGTGCACCCTGAATGCGGGACATGCACCCGCAGACCCCTGCCCAGGAACGTTCATAGCCTCCCCGGACCAGGAAAACACGTGCACCCCTCAGCCACGCACTGGATAGAGTGTGGTAGATCCACAGCTGAAGATGGGCAACCTGCTGCCGTGTTCAACAAAGAGAAATCAAGATATAATGCCCAGTAAAAAAAAAGAAAAAGATAAATGTAGTCATGTTCCATGTGCATGAAGGTCAAAGACAGTCCCGTGCATCGGAGGGAGAGATGGGAGGATGCCGGGGAGGCCCCTGAGGACGGGGCAGAGCAAGTGTGTGAAGCGCTTTCTTCCTCCTTGTTCCTCCACCCGGGTGGGGGCTGCACCGTGTTCATTTTGGAGCAGTTTGTCTACCTGTGCCCGTGCGGAATGTCCTCTACCCGCGCCCGTGTGGAATGTGCGTCTTGAAGTGCAGTATTGCATTTCATAAAAAGCCCTTAAAACGGCATTAGAAGCAGGGCCGGAGGCACCCACTGAATCCAGCTACACCCATCTCTCCAGAAATCGCCTCACATGGCCGCCTGTGCATGCAGCCATCTTTTGAAACACACGTGGAATCACCACACGTGCCCTCTCCATGCGGTTTTCAGTTTGCCCTTTCTTCCCACCCAGCCATTCACCTGGGTATTACGACACATGGACATCACCTCGTTCTTTTGCAGTTGTCTGTGTACAGATGGAAGAAAATGTGGCTTTTGGTTGTTTCCAGGTTTCTGTAGAAGAGTCTTTGTGTGAACCATGAGGGCGTAAAACTGTAGGATGCCACCCAGAAGAGGATGGCTGGGTGTGCCCTTGGTGCAGTCCTCAGAGTCCCCGCAGTGGCCGTGCACGGCTGGTTCCCAGGCAGCCACGAGGGCCGAGAGCTTCCATCTGTGTGGATCCAGTAGCAAAATGTGGAATCCTTGCTCTGTTCGTGTGTGTTTCTTTGATTTCAGAGTAAAACTACACTTTAAAAGCCTTTTGAAATGTTATTCTATAAAATGCCAACTTAGATATGTTGCTCATTTTTTCTCTGTAGAGATTACATTTTTTTGTTTGTTTGTTTTTTGTATTTTTTTTGAGACTGAGTCTTGCTCTGTTGCCCAGGCTGGAGTGCAGTGGCGCGATCTCGGCTCACTGCAACCTCAGTCTCCTGGGTTCAAGCGATTCTCCTGTCTCAGCCTCCCAAGTAGCTGGGGCTACTTGTGGCATGCACCACCGCGCCCGGCTAATTTTTTTGTATTTTTAGTAGAGACGGGGTTTCACCGTCTTAGCCAGGATGGTCTCGATCTCCTGACCTCGTGATCCGCCCACCTTGGCCTCCCAAAGTGCTGGGATTAGAGGCGTGAGCCACTGCGCCTGGCCAAAATTAAAATTTTTATTTTTCCTTAAAAATTTCTGCGTTTTTGTATTCCAGCCTTTACCACCCCAATATTCAGGTCTATTTGCTCACGGTCCATTTTGTGTGTTTCGTTTTTATTTTGCATCAAGAGCCCTGGGGGGAGTTTGGTGAGACGGTTGGCTCAATGGCTGGAATAGGAGAGGCACTTCCCACGTGGAATTAGGTAACGTGACAGTCACAGGCACCAGGATGACTTGTCAGACCCAAACTGGAGCAAGGAAGGCACTGAGGAGGAGGCACCTGCCTGCGAGTCTGAGATAAAGGCCAGCTGGAGGGCTCTCTGAAATAACCCCAGGACGTTCCTCACGTGCTTCACGCACCTCACCTTTCACAGCCGCTGCTTCAGTCGTGTGCCCGTGTTCCTGGGACTAGGTTTGCCACCGGACAAGGGTTGCAGTAATTCGGACGAGACGCTGTGGAAAGAATGCCTGCCCAGGAATGGCGTCTCTACCACGGAACAGATGCAGCTCCGGCTTTGAGCTCGAGTCAGTGAATTTGTTTCCAGGCAGCTTATGTGAACCTCTCCTTTTTGTCAAAGAAAACCTTCCCCCACCCTCCCCTCCTCAGGCACGCCTGCAGCTTGCCATAGCCGTCGGTGGATCCTGGATTCCAAGCCTTTTGCCCACTGTCAAATACACTCCTCAAATTAGGAGATACTTTTCTCTGATGTCATTCTGTTCGTTGACAGTAGGCATTAAAGCCCTCTCAGAACCGTGGTGTGGAGGCCAGACAGCAGCCTGCCTGTGTCTCAGCCATAACCACCCAACGCGCCCTGGTTAGTGTCCCTCGGAGACTTGGTCTCTGCTTCCTCGGCCCGGGGTTCTCCCAGTTTGTGCTCTGAGAGTGTGAATGTCATCATCCTTAACTCTTATAACTGTTTATTCTTCTGTTGTTTAAAAACAGGTCCGTGATGTTAGACAGAGCCGAGAACCTACTTCACGACCACTATGGAGGGAAAGAATACTGGGATGTGAGTGTTTCCTCGGGAGCGTTTTTCTCAGTTAGTGTATGTTGCCCATTATTTAGCTTTTGAAAATTTAAAACAGTCGACAGCTCTTTTTGAACCTTGCTGATTAAAACCATCATTTTAAGCCATGGATTTGGGCAACTGCGGTGACTGTGCCACCCCCAAGCCTCACGTGGCTGCAGAGCCAGGTCCTCGGGAGCCCGCAGGGCCACCCAGCTCTCCCCTCTGATGCCACAGGCCCTGAATGCGGTGGCAGCGCCCTGGAGTCAGCCCCGGAGTCAGTGACTCCGTCAGTGGCTGGAACGTAGACCCCTCCTTTCTCCTCTCTTTAGCTTTGAAAGGTGGGACTATTCTCTGCAGCGGGTCTTTTCCGTTGGCGTTGATTTCCGCATTGATGGGGTGACTTCCCATAGCCACCCCTGGTTCTGTGAGTGAGTGGGAGCAGAGGGCGGGAAGTGGCTGCCCCCTCCCGTGGACACAGCAGGCCTGCTGACGTGTTCACCAGGGCAGCAGCTTGTAAAGCCGGAACCTGCCTGCAGGAGACACAGTCCCTGCTCACGTGGGACTTTGTGCAGGTCAGTCCCACCCCGTTTGGCAAAGCAGGATGTGCTAACCGCCTAAGCTAGAAGTCGAGTTGGGGAGAGACTGAGGGGAAGGAGCTGCACACAGTTGTGCCAGCCAGGGGCAACGGCCAGCTGAGCCCAGTGTGTGCCGCAGCTTCCCACGGCAGGGGCTGGCAGAGCCGGCAGGGGTGGGCGGCTTGCCCTGCGTTGGCTTCATGCAGGAGACCCTCCAAGAGCCTCCACCGTGGATGGCGCTGCTTCTCAGGCGACCGTGGATGACGTGTCTGAGGGGCTTGTTCCAGCTGCGGGGGTGGGTGGTGGCAGCGACAGGAGAACCCGCTCCGGGAGGGCTGCGTGGCGGGCGGGCGTGTTCTCAGCCGAGCCGTCGCCGTTTCCACAGACCCGTCGCAGCATGGTGTTTGCCAGGCACCTGCGGGAGGTGGGAGACGAGTTCAGGAGCAGACATCTCAACTCCACGGACGACGCAGACAGGATCCCCTTCCAGGAGGACTGGATGAAGATGAAGGTAGCCCCCCTCCCTTTTGTTAATTAGAGAAAAGGTAAAGTCTCTCTGGAGATGCCCCACACTCAGGCCTTCCATGTAAAGTCACAGCAGGGTTGGCGTGTCTGTGGGCGTGGATGCCTCGGCGCCTCTCTGGAATGTGAGTCACAGTAATGACCTGCTCTCGGGAGGCGCCGGGACCCTGGGGCCCTCGTCATGTGCAGACTCAGGGAGTCACTCGGCCTGGCTTTACCTTTAGTAACACGGGCAGTCATGGCAGGCCCAGCGGACTCAAAGGTGTTCTCAGAGCGCGGCAAGGCCAGGAGCGCGGAAGCAGGAGCTCGAGGTGGTCAGAGGCACGTTCGGCCTTTTTCCCTCTTGACTTGATTGATAAAGAGAAAAAAGCAGCGTTCACCTGGACTCACCCAAAAGCACCATCAGTGCTGTTTTGGTCTAGAATCATCCTTTTCTTATTCTTTGTATATATTTTTAAGTGTTTTCTGAAAGTTTGAGTTTTTCTGTGATGTAATTTCAACAAATGTGTTGCTTTTTCAACTTGATATTGTTTTTAAGCATTTTCAGTGTCTGTTTTTAGCGTTTTTTAAACAAAACTTTCATAGAAGTGCCATTTTACTCGCTTGTTCTTTATGGGGTATTTGAGCTATTTCCAAGTGGAATAGCATTCATTGTTCCAGCAATAATTAAGTTACTTGGACAGTTTTTACTGGGGAAAAAATATAGAAGATTTTTTTTCATTTTTATCCCACTTGTGTTTCTTTTCAGTGTTTTTTTTTTATTCTTTTTAATTTTATTTTTAATTTTATTTAATTAATTTGTTTTTGTTTTCGTTTTGAGACAGAGTCTCACTCTGTCGCCCAGGCCGGAGTGCAGTGACACGATCTCAGCTCACTGCAACCTCTGCCTCCCGGGTTCAAGCAATTCTCCTGCCTCAGCCTCCCGAGTAGCTGGGATCACAGGCGCGTGCCACCGCACCCGGCTAATTTTTGTATTTTGAGTACAGACAGGATTTTCCCATGTTGGCCAGGCTGGTCTCAAACTCCTGACCTCAAGTAATCCACCCGCCTTGGCCTCCCAGAGTGCTGGGATTACAGGCGTGAGCCACTGTGCCTGGCTTATTTTATCATTTTTTTTTTTTAGCCTTAATCATTTTTGGGGAGCAGGTGGTGTTTGGTTACATGGATAAAGTGGTAGTTTCTGAGATTTTGGTACACCCATCACCCGAGCAGTGTACACTGTCCCCAATGTGTAGTCTTTTATCCCTCACCCCCTCCACTCTTCCCCTCGAGTCCCCAAAGTCCATTGTGTCATTCTTATGCCTTTACATCCTCATAGCTTAGTTCCCGTGAGAACATACAATATTTGGTTTTCCATTCCTGAGTTACTTCACTTAGAATAATGGTCTCCAGCTCCATCCAGGTTGCTGCAAATGCATTCATTTCGTTCCTTGTTATGGCTGATGTACCACATTTTCTTTATCCACTCATTGGTCAATGGGCATTCAGGCCGGTTCCATGTTTTTGCAGCTGTGGATTGTGCTGCTATAAACATGCATATGCAAGTGTCTTTTTCATATAGTGGCTTCTTTTCCTCTGGGTAGATACCCAGCAGTGGGATTGCTGGATCAAATGGTAGTTCTACTTTTAGCTCTTTAAGGAATCTCCACACTGTTTTCCACAATGGTTGTACTAGTTGACATTCCCACCAGGAGTGTCGCAGTATCCCTTTCACTGCATCCGTGCCGACATCCATTATTTTTGGGTTTTTAAATTATGGCCATTCTTGCAGGAGTAAGGTAGTATCCTGTTGTGGTTTTCATTTGCATTTCCCTGATCATTAGTGAAGTTAAGCATTTTTTCATACGTTTGTTGGCCATTTGTGTATCTTGAGAATTGTCTATTCCTGTCCCTAGCCTATGTTTTGATGGGATTATTTGTTTTTTCATGCTGATCTGTTTCATTTCCTTGTAGATTCTGGATATTAGTCCTTGGTCGGATGCAAAGTGTGCAAGTATTTCCTCCCACTCTGGGAGCTGTTCGCTGATTGTTTCTTTTGCCGTGCAGAAGCTTTTTAGTTTAATTATGCCCTATCTATTAATGTTTGTTTTTGTTGCATTTGCTTTGGGTTCTTGGTCAGGAACTCTTTGCCTAAGCCAGTGTCTAGAAGAGTTTTTCTGATGTTATCGTCTAGAATTTTTATGATTTCAGGTCTTAGATTTAAGTCTTTAATCCACCTTGAGTTGATGATCCAGTTTCATTCTTCTACATGTGGGCTGCCAATATCCCCACACCATTTTTGAATAGAATGTCCTTTCCCCACTTTATGTTTTTGTTTGCTTTGTCGAAGATCAGTTGGCTGTAAGTATTTGGCTTTATTTCTGGGTTCTCTTCTGCTCCACTGGTCTAGGTACCTATTTTTATAGCGGTACCATGCTGTTTTGGTAACTATAGCCTTGTAGGATAGTTTGAAGTTGAGTATTGTGTACTTCCAGATTTGTACTTTTTGCTTAGTAGTTTTGCTTTGGCTATGTAGGCTCTGTTTTGGTTCCATATGAATTTTAGGTTTTTGTTTTTTCTAGTTCTGTGAAGAATGATGATGGCATTTTGATGGGAATTGCACTGATAGATTGCTTTTGTAGTATGGTCATTTTCACAATATTGATTCTACCCATCCATGAGCATGGGATGTATTTCCATTAGTTTTTGTTGTCTATGAATTCTTTCAGCAGTGTTTTGTAATTTTCCTTGTAGAGATCAAGTTTTGTGGGTTTTTTTGGTTGTTTTTGTTTGTTTGTTTGTTTGCAGCTGTTGTAAAAGGAGTTGAGTTCTTGGTTTGATTCTCAGCTTGGTTGTTGTTGGTGTGTAGCAGTGCTACTGAGTTGTGTACATTGATTTTGTGTCCTGAAACTTTACTGAATTCATTTATCAGATCTGGGAGCTTTTTGGATGAGTCTTTAGGGTTTCCTAGGTATACAATTATATCATCAGTGAACAGTGACAGTTTGACTTCCTCTTTACTGATTTGGATGCCGTTTATTTCTTTCTCTTGTCTGATTGCCCTGACTAGGACTTCTAGTACTATGTTGAATAGAAGTGGTGAGAGTGGGCATCCTTGTCTTGCTCCAGTTCTCAGGGTGAATGCTTTCAACTTTTCCCCCGTCAGTATAATGTTGGCTTTGGATTTGTCATAGATGACTTTTATTATCTTGAGGTATGTCCCTTCTATGCCACCTTTGCTGAGGGTTTTAATCTTAAAGCAATGCCGGATTTTGTCAAATGCCTCTTCTGCATCTATTGAAATGATCATATGATTTTTGTTTTTAGTGCTGTTTAGGTGGTGTGTCACATTTGTTGACTTGGATATGTTAAACCATCCCTGCATCCCTGGTATGATACCCATTTGATCATGTTGTGTTATCTTTTTGATATGTTGTTGGATTCGGTTAGCTAGTATTTTGTTAAGGATTTTTGCATCTATGTTCATCAGGGATATTGGTCTGTTGATTTATGGAGGATTCCCTCTTTCTCTGTCTTTTGGAATAGTTTCAGTAGAATTGATACCACTTCTTCTTTCAGTGTCTGATTTCAGCTGTGAATTCATTGGGTCCTGGACTTTTTTTGTTGGCAATTTTTAAATTACTGTCTCAATCTCACTACTTGTTATTGGTCTGTTCAGAGTTTATATTTCTTCCTGGTCTATATCTAGAAGGGTTGTGTATTTCCAGGAATTTATCCTCTTGATTTTCCAGTTTGTGCGCATAAAAGTGTTCATAGTAGCCTTGGATGATTATTTTGTGTTTCTATGGTATCGACTGTAATATCTCCCGTTTTGTTTCTAATTGACCTTATTTGGATCTTCTCTCTTCTTCATTAATCTCACTAATGGTCTATCAATGTTGTTTATCTTTTCAGAGAACCAGCTTATTGTTTCATTTAACTTTTGTATTTTTTTGTCTGTTCATTTCAATTTCATTTAGTTCTGCTCTCATCTTGGTGGTTTTCTTCTGCTGGGTTTGGGTTTGTCCTTGTTTCTCTCATTCCTTGAGGTATGACCTTAGATTGTCTGTGCTCTTTCAGATTTTTTGATGTAAGCATTTAATGCTGTGAATTTTCCTCTTGGCACCACTTTTGCTGTGTCCCAGGGGTTTTGATAAGTTATGTCAGTGTTATTGTTCAGTTCAAAGAATTTTTAAATTTCCATCTTAATTTCATTGTTGACCCAAAGATCAGGAGCAGATTATTTAATTTCCATGTGTTTGTATAGTTTTGAGGGTTCCTTTTGGATTTAATTTCCAGTTTTACTCCACTGTGGTCTGAGAGGGTACTTGACATAATTTTGATTTTCTTAAATTTATTGAGGCTTGTTTTGTGGCCAATCATATGGTTTATCTTGGATAACGTTCCATATGCTTACGAACAGAATGTATATTCTGCAGCTGTTGCGTAGAATGTTCTGTAAATATTTTAGTCCACTTGTTCCAGGGTATAGTTTGAGTCTATTGTTTCTTTGTTGGCTTTCTGTCTTGATGACCTGTCCAGTGCTGTCAGTGGAGTATTGAAGTCCCCACTTATGTTGTATTGCTGTCTATCTCATTTTTTAGGTCTAGTAGTAATTGTTTTATAAATTTGGTAGCTCCAGTGTTAGGTGCATGTATAATTAGGATTGTGGCATTCTCCCGTTGGACTGATCCTTTTATCATTATATAATGTTCCTCCATCTTTTTTAACTGTTGTTGCTTTAAAGTCTGTTTTGTCTGATATAAGAATACTACTGTACTCGCTTTTGGTGTCCATTTGCATGGAGTATCTTTTTCCACCCCTTTACCTTAAGTTTGTGTGAGTCCTTATGTGTTAGGTCAGTCTCTTGAAGACTTTTGCCTCACAGCTTTCAGGTGGATTTTTTTCCATTCTGCCATTCTGTTTCTCTTAAGTGGAGTCTCTAAGCCATTTACATTCAACTTTGGTATTGAGGTGTGAGGTACTGTATTCTATTCATCATACTAGTTGCTGCCTGAATACTCTGTTTTCTTTCTTTTTCATTGCGTTGTTTTATATGCCCTGTGAGATTTATGCTTTAAGAAGGTTCTATTTTGGCGTATTTTGAGGTTTTGTTTCAAGATTTAGAACTTCTTTAACATTTCTTGTAGAGCTGGCTTTGGGAGTGGTGAATTCTCTCAGCATTTGTTTGTCTGAAAAAGATGATCTCTCCTTCATTTATGAAGCTTAGTTTTGCTGGATATAAAATTCTTGGCTGATAATTACTTTGTTTGTGGAGGCTGAAGATAGGACCCCAGTCCCTTGTAGCTTGTAGGTTTCTGCTGAGAAATCTGCTGTGAATCTGATAGGTTTTCCTTTATAGGTTACCTGGTGCTTTTGGCTCACAGCTCTTAAGATTCTTTCCTTCATCTTGACTTTAGATAACCTGATGACTGTGTGCCTAGGAGATGATCTTTTTGTGATGAATTGCCCAGGTATTCTTTGAGCTTCCTGTATTTGGATGTCTAGATCTCTAGCAAGACCAGGTAAGTTTTCCTCAATTATTCCCTCAAATAAGTTTTCCAAACTTTTAGATTACTCTTCTTCCTCAGGAACACCAATTATCCTTAGGTTTGGTTGTTTAACATAATTCCAAATTTCTTGGAGGCTTTGTTCATTTTTTTTACTATTCTTTTTTCTTGTTTGTTGGATTGGGCTAATTTGAAAACCTTGTCTTCGAGCTCTGAAGCTCTTTCTTCTCCTGTTCTAGTCTATTATTGAAACTTTCCAGTGTATTTCGTTTCTTTAAGTGTGTCTTTCATTTCCAGAAGTTGCAATTGTTTTTCCTTTAAGATACCTAGTTATCTGGAGCATTTTTCATCCATATTGTTGTTGTTGTTTTTTTTTTAATTTCTTTAAGTTGGTTTTCACCTTTGTCTGGTATGTCCTTGAGTAGCTTAATAATGAACCTTCGGAATTCTTTATCTGGCAATTGAGAGATTTCTTCCTGGTTTGGATCCATTGCTGGGGAGCTACTATGATCTTTTGGGGGTACTATAGAACCTTGTTTTGTCATATTATCACAATTGCTTTTCTGCCTGCTTCTCATTTGGGCAGACTACTTCAGTGGAAAGATCTGGAACTCACGGGCTACTGTTCAGATTCTTTTATCCCACGGGGTGCTCTGTGGCGCTCTTCGCCTTCCCCTAGGGATGGGGCTCCCTGAGAGCTGGGCTGCAGTGATTGTTATTGCTCTTCTGGGTCTAGCCACCCAGTGGGGCTACCAGGCCCTGGGATGCTGCTGGGGAATGTCTGCGGAGAGTCCTGTGCTGTGATCCGTCTTCGGGTCTCCCAGCCATGGGTTCCAGCACCTGCTCTGCTGGAGGTGGCGGGGGAGTGAAGTGGACTCTGGGGGGGTCCTTGGTTGTAGTTTTGTTGAGTGCACTGGCTTTCTCGAATGCTGGTTATGCTGCAGTGAAGTTGTCACGTGGACAGACTCGGGACCTGTGGACAGCCAGGAGGTTGCAGGTGGTGGGATTAGCTGTTGCTTTCTCCTTCCTTGGAGCAGGGTTGTTGGTTAGAATTTGCTGTAGCCATTTGCGTTGGTGGCCTCCAGCCAGGAGGTGGCACTGTCAAGAGGGCAGCAGAGCATTCTGGCTCCCGGGGAGTTTGCAGCTGTGAGCTGCTTTGTCCACAGGATCCGTGAACTCTTTGTGGCACGTCCCTGCGGTGGTTCTCGGAGGAAAAGTTCACAGCGTGAGCCTCCACATGCTGTTCTCTTTTTAAATATTTTTCTTTACCTCAGATAAAATGATTTCTGGTAATTAATACTGCTTCACTGTCTTCTTAGAAAGACATCTGGTCGCCCCCGAGATTCCACCTGAATCCCTTAGACAGCCCTGGAGCCACCCCGTGGAGGAGGCCACATGGAAAGGGTCATCCCTCTGCGTCTCGAGTCCCACCCGGTGCCCAGGATGAGCCCCGAGCCCGCCTGTCAGCTTCTGCATTTCCTTGTGGTTCTTTGCTAGGTCAAGCTGGGCTCCGCGCTAGGGGGCCCCTACCTGGGAGTCCACCTGAGAAGAAAAGATTTCATCTGGGGTCACAGACAGGATGTACCCAGTCTGGAAGGGGCCGTGAGGAAGATCCGCAGCCTCATGAAGACCCACCGGCTGGACAAGGTGTTTGTGGCCACAGATGCCGTCAGAAAGGGTATGGAGCTTCAATGCTTTCGTTTCTTTCCTTTCTTTTAATTTATTTTTTTTATTGATAATTCTTGGGTGTTTCTCACAGACGGGGATTTTGGCAGGGTCATGGAACAATAGTGGAGGGAAGGTCAGCAGATAAACAAGTGAACAAAGGTCTCTGGTTTTCCTAGGCAGAGGACCCTGCGGCCTTCCGCAGTGTTTGTGTCCCTGATTACTTGAGATTAGGGATTGGTGATGACTCTTAACGAGCATGCTGCCTTCAAGCGTCTGTTTAACAAAGCACATCTTGTACCGCCCTTAATCCATTTAACCCTGAGTGGACACAGCACATGTTTCAGAGAGCACAGGGTTGGGGGTAAGGTCACAGATCAACAGGATCCCAAGGCAGAAGAATTTTTCTTAGTGCAGAACAAAATGAAAAGTCTCCCATGTCTACTTCTTTCTACACAGACACGGCAACCATCCGATTTCTCAATCTTTTCCCCACCTTTCCCGCCTTTCTATTCCACAAAGCCGCCATTGTCATCCTGGCCTGTTCTCAATGAGCTGTTGGGTACCCCTCCCAGACGGGGTGGTGGCCGGGCAGAGGGGCTCTTCACTTCCCAGTAGGGGCGGCCGGGCAGAGGCGCCCCTCACCTCCCGGACGGGGCGGCTGGCCGGGCGGGGGGCTGACCCCCCCACCTCCCTCCCAGACGGGGCGGCTGGCCGGGCAGAGGGGCTCTTCACTTCCCAGTAGGGGCGGCCGGGCAGAGGCGCCCCTCACCTCCCGGACGGGGCGGCTGGCCAGGCGGGGGGCTGACCCCCCCACCTCCCTCCCAGACGGGGCGGCTGGCCGGGCAGAGGGGCTCTTTGCTTCCCAGTAGGGGCGGCCGGGCAGAGGCGCCCCTCACCTCCCGGACGGGGCGGCTGGCCAGGCGGGGGGCTGACCCCCCCACCTCCCTCCCGGACGGGGCGGCTGGCCGCCCGGGGTGCTGACCCCCCCACCTCCCTCCCGGACGGGGCGGCTGGCCGGGCGGAGGGCTGACCCCCCCACCTCCCTCCCGGACGGGGTGGCTGCCGGGCGGAGACGCTCCTCACTTCCCAGATGGGGTGGCTGCCGGGCGGAGAGGCTCCTCACTTCTCAGACGGGGCGGCCGGGCAGAGACGCTCCTCACCTCCCAGACGGGGTCGTGGCCAGGCAGAGGCGCTCCTCACATCCCAGATGGGGCGGCGGGGCAGAGGCGCTCCCCACATCTCAGACGATGGGCGGCTGGGCAGAGACGCTCCTCACTTCCTAGATGTGATGGCGGCCGGAAAGAGGTGCTCCTCACTTCCTAGATGGGATGGCGGCCGGGCGGAGATGCTCCTCACTTTCCAGACTGGGCAGCCAGGCAGAGGGGCTCCTCACATCCCAGACGATGGGCGGCCAGGCAGAGACACTCCTCACTTCCCAGATGGGGTGGCGGCCGGGCAGAGGCTGCAATCTTGGCACTTTGGGAGGCCAAGGCAGGCGGCTGGGAGGTGTAGGTTGTAGCGAGCCGAGATCACGCCACTGCACTCCAGCCTGGGCACCATCGAGCACTGAGTGAACGAGACTCCGTCTGCAATCCCAGCACCTCGGGAGGCCGAGGCTGGCGGATCACTCGCGGTTAGGGGCTGGAGACCGGCCCGGCCAACACAGCGAAACCCCGTCTCCACCAAAACCAGTCAGGCGTGGTGGCGCGTGCCTGCAATCGCAGGCACTCGGCAGGCTGAGGCAGGAGAACCAGGCAGGGAGGTTGCAGTGAGCCGAGATGGCAGCAGCACAGTCCAGCTTTGGCTCCGCATGAGAGGGAGACCGTGGAAAGAGAGGGAGACCGTGGGGAGAGGGAGAGGGAGAAGGAGAGGGAGAGGGAGCACGTTTCTTTCCTTTCTTCTTGATCCCTGGTTCTGTTCTGGGTAGACCTGGAACTACCCAGATCCATGAAGATCTGCATGATCTTCAACTGTAATTCCTGGGAGGGTAAAGCTGAGTTGTGTGTCTGCACCTTTGGAGCCAGTTCCTAACGAATTAACCAGAAGCCAAGTACGCATGTCTGTCTGCTAAAGAGTCACGTATCTGTCCTTACTGGAGGATCCCGGTTCAAAGGGTCTCTCCTTCTACTTTGCAGAATATGAAGAGCTAAAAAAGCTGTTACCCGAGATGGTGAGGTTTGAACCCACGTGGGAGGAGCTGGAGCTCTACAAGGACGGAGGCGTTGCGATTATTGACCAGTGGATCTGCGCACACGCCAGGTGCCTGCCCACGTCACTGTCGGCCGAGAGCGGGTCGGGTGGCTTTCAAAGGTTCTTCTGTCCCAAGTACTCGGTGTCAGAGCAGATGGTCGCCTGTGTTCACAGTGGTCATTTCCATACTGTTTGCCTCCTCGTCTGAGTCTCCTGTAGCATCTGGTTCAGTGTTTCCCTGGGCTGAAGTTAATTGTTCATCTTGCCCCTTTAGTTCTCATGCACAGAATTCCTCCATAGCAGGCTGTTGGCATAGCTGGCCTCGTCTCAGAACCTCTTCTTGTGTCGCATTTTCCCATCATTCCCGGTTTCTGCCCCTGTCTGCCCCCTGCCCTGAGAGTTGCCCGTGCCCTGGACTTGGGCATGTCCTTGTTGCTGTGTTGTTGAGCATCCGTGAGCGTCCCCGAGGCCGGGAGCGTGGGCCCTCGTGTGATCATTCTCGTGGGGCTGCCATGAGCGTCCCCAAGGCTGGGAGCATGGGCCCTCGTGTGATCGTTCTTGTGGGGCTGCCGTGAGCGTCCCCGAGGCCGGGAGCGTGGGCCCTCGTGTGATCATTCTCGTGGGGCTGCCGTGAGCGTCCCAGAGGCCGGGAGCGTGGGCCCTGCGTGCAGTCATTCCTCTGGGGTTGCTGTGGGAGGTACGCCTGGGCCTCTGTTCCTCCAAAGACCTGCCTGCCCATCTGCATAGGAGATGAAGGCTGGGGTTAGGGTGAAACGGTTTGAGTTAAATGGAAAATGAAAGTAGAGGGAATGATCTTCCCCGTGGTTAGCACTGTGCACACGCGTGCGTCTCTGTGGGTTAGTCTGTCTCTCTCCTGCCCGAGGAATGCTGAGCGCCCTGAGCCGGTGCCTCTTCACACATCTGCTATTTCCTGTGGTGTTCTGGGCATGGTGTGTAAGACCCACAGAGGCTCCGGGTGATGCTGTCTGCTGGGTGTGGGTCCCTTTCCCTGTTAAGCAGACAGGATGCAGCGCTGACTTCTTAGGTCAGGGCGGAGGTGTGCAGGAGCCCAGTTACGAACTCACCCCTGCTTCTCAGGTGTGGCCTTGGGATTTTGACTGCGACCTTGGCGGTGCTGTCTCCGCAGCCCAGGAAGCCTGCTGTGGGGAGGCTTCGCACTGAGCTCTCAGCCTCCTGCCCTCAGCTGCGCGAAGCGCTCGGCCCAGCTCACTGAAGCTGCCCTGCCTCCGGGCCGGCGCGGCCTGCTCTGGCAGGCCCCTGTGTGTGGGGTGGTGAGGGTCTCCCCACCAGTGCTGCACCCCGCAGCAGCATACAGGCCTGTGTGGCCTGCTGGCCCTGTGGCTCTGTGTACAGCGCTGTGCATGTTACATTTGCTCTGGAAACATCTCTGGGGTTTGCTTGTTCACGAAGTTCATGAAGTGCCGCTGGAGAGCCAGAGACCAGCTGCGCAGGAGCCGGAGGAACGGGCAGGCCGCTGACCTGAGGTCTGGAGAAACCCCTGGAGAAGGGTGTCCCCACCAGCCCATACAGCGTGTGTGTGGAGGGGGCCTTGACCTCCGTGATGTCTACTGTGCCTCAGGATAAGGACCCGCCATGCCCTGGCTAGACAGTGTGTGGTTAGTAGGAATCTCTCATTGTTCACCATGTGACCCCCAGGAGGTATTCGACCTGCACTGGCGTGCCTGGCCTGGGATTTGGTGACGGAGAGGAGGGCTCCCAGGGGGACATGCGGTGGGACAGGAGCGTGGCGGCTGCTGACTGTGGGGTGTGGATGGGGCTGCAGCACCAGGCAGAGCCCCTCAGGGCGCCGATGTCGAGGGCACCTGAGCGAGGGGTGCCAGCAAGGGGGCGGCCGGCTGGTGGGTGCTCGGGGGACGGCCGTGTTGGTTCCATGTAACTGTGGAACTCATTTCACTCAGCTGCTCCTCTCAGTTCTCCCTGACTCTGGAACCTCTGTGACGCCAGTTCTCCCTGACTCTGGAACCTCTGTGATCCTTTGCAGGTTTTTTATTGGCACCTCAGTCTCAACATTTTCTTTTCGGATTCATGAGGAAAGAGAAATCCTGGGGTTGGACCCCAAGACGACGTACAACAGGTTCTGCGGAGACCAAGAGAAGGCGTGTGAGCAACCCACCCACTGGAAGATCACCTACTGAGGAGGATCCTCCAGGGCCGCTCCCCGGACCCGACAGGCGCGGGTGGATGCAGGTTCTGTCGCCGTGGAGTCACCGTCTACTGCCAGCCGGGAGCTGGGCGGACAGGACCGTCCCTCGCAGGGTCCCAGGCCCAGAAGAGGCCCCACGCCTCTAGAGCTGGGCTCCGTCCTCGGCGTTGCCAGCCGCCATGGCTGATGAAGAGGCTCCGCTGCTCTCGGGGGTGGCGGTTGTTTTCAGGCAGCGTCTGTGAACCCACAGCTCGGTTGCCAGCAGTGCCCGCGTGGTGACCCAGAAGCAGGAGTGTTTGTCAGGCTCCCGCTCTGGCCTTTCCAGCCACCTTTCATGTCTTCATATTTTAAGTGCATTGAGGATAGATGCAGGCGGGTGAGCTGCCCTCCGTCAGGTGGACCCGGGCTGACATTTCCCTGGGAGCTGGTGCAAGGAGAAGCGTCATTTTAAATGTCTGCAGAGCGACCAGGGGCCTCATGAATCTCTCCGTTGCCCTCCGCGCAGCAGGAGGCTGCCTGTGTGTTTCCTCCTGGGATGCGTGCAAGGCAGACCTGGTGCTGCAAAGGAAAGGGCCTGAGGCCTCAGGGAGCCCCGTGGAGGGATGACAGTTCAGGCCCTACTGCTGGCACGTCAGAGCACTGGGAAGTTTTTCAGTGACGTCTCTGGGGCACTCAGTGGATTGTCTGTAGGAAACTTGCAGCTCTGCTCCTCACACCAGGCCCGGCTGGCCACCCACCCTCGCCCCCACTGGCCACCCCTCCCTCGCCCCGACTGCCCCGCCCCACCCTCACCCCGACTGCCCCGCCCTCGCCCGGCTGGCCGTCCCTGCCCTCGCCCCGGCTGGCAGGTGCACATGGGGCCTCCAGGTCTGCCATTCGCTATTGAGAACTAGAAATGAGGAAGGACAGTTACGCTAACTCCAAAAGGCTGTCTAGGATGAGCTGCTTTATCAGGGAGCTCCTTGTACCCATTTTACAGAAATCATTTTTAGGTCTTTGTGCCACCACCACGAGGGGCATCTGCAAAGAGGGCAACGCTAGACACAGAATCCGTGGAAGGTGCAGCAGTGCCTCAGGGGTCCTCAGGGTCAGGGAGCCCCCCTCACCCTCTTGGCCCGTTACCCTTTGTGACTTTCCACCATGGTGTCGTGTGACCCTCAGTCAGGTTGGTGGGGGCTGAGTCCTCACTGAGCAGCCACTTTCCACATCTGCTAGAGGAACAGTGACATGGACACCTGTGACAGAGAGAGGACAGTTAGGAGGGACAGACAGCTCTTCCTTTCGGAGCCTGGCTAGTCTAGGACATCACCTTGCTGTGTCTTCTCAAGCTTTTAAAATTGACCCTGAACGTGTGACAGGGTCCTATGGTGTTACTCAAAGCTGTGCAGGGTAAATGATGACATATTTATTCTTTTTCCATTTGTTCTAGAAACAGTGCCTTTTTCATCAGTTGCATTTTCCAGGCTGAGAGCTGTATAAAACATTTTGGACTGTGACCATGTACCTTCCTTTTTAAGAAAAATAAACTGCTTTATGGAAGTTGGTAGCTGTGGAGTGTAGACTCATTAGACTCATTTCCTGCCACACAGCGGAAGGTGGAAGAACCTTTTCGGATCTCCCAGAAAGCGGATGGTGACCAGGCATGGAGGAACAGGGTAGGGGCCGCTCCTGCTGGCCTGCGAGTGCTGTGGCATCTACATCAGGACACCACTTCTGCCAGAGCCCCTGGGCCCCCAGTGTGGCCTGGGTGTGCTCAAGGGGCCCTGTAAGTCCTCGTCATCAACAGCAGCCAGCCCTCCTCTGTTCATTAGACTGCTGGGAGGCCTCTTTGGGGAAAGAATCCCTCAGGTGTAAAACTGCCAGGTTTTTAGGCACATAGGAGATGGCAGTATGGCCTTTGGGAGTTTAATTGTGGTGGGAAAAGACCAGCCAGTGAGAAGATTGTGTGGTAGGTGCTGGTAAATGCTGCAGAACTCGCGTGGAGAAAGCCTGGAGGTGGTGGGAGGTTGGGAGGGGCTCAGGAAGGCTGGGGGGGCTATAACTCGCAATGGCCGGGAACAATGAATACAGAGGCCCCCAGGGCTCATACGGCCAAGGCGGAGAGAAGCTGGTGTCCCAGATGGAGCAGCTGGGCCACTGATGCATCAGGAGGATCTGTGCGTAGGAGGGCCGCTGCAGGGTCTGAGCAGCGTAGGGTGTGATGTGGCCACTGTGCAGGGAATAGCCTGGAAGCCGGAGGCTGGTGAGGAGGCTGTTGCGTGGTCCGGGTGAGACGCAATGGTCAAGAGTGTTGAAAAACTTTATGCTGGACGTGGTGGCTCACACCTGTAATCCCAGCACTTTGGGAGGTCAAGGCGGTTGGATTGCTTTAGGTCAGGAGTTCGAGACCAGCCCAGCCAACGTGAAATCCCGTCTCTACTAAAAAGAAAAAATAAATAAAAAAAAAATTAGCCTAGTGGGCGTGGTGGTGCATGTGTGTAATCCCAGCTACTTGGGAGGCTGGGGCAGGAGAATCACTTGAATCCGGGAGGCGGAGGTTGCCATGAGCTGAGATTGTGCCACTGCACTCGTCTGGGCAACAGAGTGAGACTCCTCTGTCTCAAAAAAAGAAAAACTTTAGAGTTTATTTGAACAAAGAACAGTTCATGAATTGCACTCAGAACCGGGAGAGGTTCAGCGAGCTCCACTCAGCAGCACGGGCAGGCAGCACTTACAGACAGAACACGGAAGTGAGACACGGAAACAGCCTGATTGGCTACGGCTGGGCGTCTGCCACCTGTGGGTGTGGTCTGACCCACTGGCAGCTTATGACAGACTCAGCTACTTGTTACAAAATAGACTTATTAGGTTGAGTTTGTTTACATGCTTCGTTAGGTTGCAATTCACTAGGCAGAAATGCAAAGAATGGAGGCAG
This sequence comes from Homo sapiens, assembly GCF_000001405.40. NCBI lineage: Eukaryota > Metazoa > Chordata > Mammalia > Primates > Hominidae > Homo > Homo sapiens. The sequence continues at coordinate 45,262,559 of NC_000021.9, read as the reverse complement.
CTTTAGGCCAAATTTAATTTAACAAGAGGACCTGAGTGCCTGCGGTATCCCTGGAAGGAGTTGCTGGGTCTGAACATCAGGAAGGTGGGGCTGGGAGCCCAGGTGGACCCCAAGGGGTTGTCTTAGCTGCTGCAAGGATGATGGAACCCGCTCCCTTTTTTAAGCTAATGGTCTTTTGTTGCAGGAAGAAAAGATGGACTTGCAACTTGGAATGGATGTAAATCATAGTGTTTTCAGCACTGTTGGTAGTGCTGAAGTCCACAGCCACAGCCTGTTCTGCCAGCTCCAAGTCATGGTTCCAAAGGTTTTAAAAACAGTCCAAAGATGTTCCCTTGATAAAGGTTTCATTTTTAAAGTTTGTGTGAATGGTGGCAGCCTGACCCTGTTTCACTCCAGTGCAATGCAGATGACACCAAGCCAACACGCAGAGGCATGGCCGGAGTGTTGTCACTGTGAGTTGGGGCGCACACAAGCACAGGGGGCCGTCGTGTGGTGAGCTGGGCCCAGTGGCTCACCCTTCACCCTTTCTCCACACGTCTTCCTGAAGTAGACCAAGTGTGTGTTTTCAGTAAGCAGCTGTGACTGTACTAACACATTGAGTTAGAACCATTTGAATAGGTTTTGAATCTGCTTTTTCATTGTTCACTTTTAATAGTATTAAGCATTTATTTGGGAAACAAAGGATTGTAATTTGGGTAAGCTGAGTCACGGTGGCCCTGAGTAGTGTCCTAGAAAGCAAACACGAGAGTTTTGGTTTTTCTCTTTGAGACGGAGTCTCACTCTGTTGCCCAGGCTGGAGTGCAGTGGCGTGATCTCAGCTCACTGCAACCTCCATCTCCTGGGTTCAAGCGATTCTCCTGCCTCAGCCTCCTGAGTAGCTGGGACTACAGGTGTGCACCACCACCCCTGACTAATTTTTGTATTTTTAGTAGAGATGAGGTTTCACCATGTTGGCCAGGCTGGTCTCGAACTTCTGACCTCAGGTGATCCTCCCACCTCAGCCTCCCAAAGTGCTGGGAATATAGGTGTGAGCCACCTCGCCCGGCCTGGAGAGATTTGTTTAGGGGATTTCCACAAAGGGGTTTTGGAGGTAGTTCATTGGCTGGGCAGAAATCCTAAATGAAACCCATTCTGATGGGTTAGTTCTTAAGGGCACTCCCAGCTGGGAGATGTGAAGGCCGTCAGGGGCTGACTTCAGCTGTTGGTCCAAGTCTACGGGCGCGTCCTGTGGACTGGCCGTCAGCCGTGTGAATGCAGGCCTCCCGCAGCCGCCCAGTTCCACTTAGCCTCAGCATTAGTGACTTCATTTTCTTTCACATTTCCCCCTTTTGACCAAGTTCTTCCTCCAGAAAGTGTCACAGATCAGTTGGTGAATGTGATGATGTCCCTTGTTGCTGGGAGGGACTTGTCCCAGGGAGTCATGTCCCTCGTTGGGGACGTGACCTCAGTCAAGCTCAACTGTCATCTGCTTCACTTTTGGGTCAGTTTTCATTTCAGGTGATTGTCCGAATTCCAGCAGGGGTAGAGGTTTCTTTAAATGAGAAACCTCAATCCAAGGGTCAACACCTTTTAGTTTGGCAGCACAGGGATGGGTAAGGAGTACCTGATGTGGACTCTTCACTGAGGTTGAAGGAAATCTTTTTGTAAATGTCTTTTCCAATAGAGAAAATGATCAGGCTGAAGGTTGTGATGTCTGGTGCCTTTATCAACTGGGAACACACTGTGTAAAGATTGTCTGACCAGGGTATGACTTGCGTGGACAGCCTTCATTATTCCTTTACAATACTGGAGCATGTCTCCTTTCATCAGTGGACTATTAAAAGCAGAAGGGACTCTATGCATTGGCCCTCCAGTGATCATTTCAAAAGGTGACAACTTGCAGTTTCCAAAAGGTGCAGACCTTAGATTCAGAAGGACCAGAGGAAGTGCCTTTGGCCGGGGCAATTTTAGTGCTTCCTGAAATTCTGCCAGTTGATGCCATCTGTGCTTTCCACCAGTCTGCAAGATTGGGGATGGTAGGCACAATGACAGTGCTGTCATGTGGACCAGACTTCACAGATTTGTTTTATGACCTGGCCAGTGGAGCTCCTTGTCACTACCTGTGAAGATATGCCCTTGTCACTTAGGGAGAATCTGTTCTTGTAGAGTTTGCAGCATCTGAGGCAGCGGCACATCAGGAAGGGAATGCTTCTACCCAGGAGAAGAACATGCAAATCATCACGACATACTTACAGTCTTGAGAGGCAGTGGCTGGATGAAGTCCATTTGCCAAACCTCAGAGGGTCCACTTGGCAGGTCAGAATGACCTGGGACTCTCCGAATTGTCTTTGCTGGGTTGAATTTTGGACAAACAGCACAAGGCAGTTGTGCCTCTTCGGCCGCCCTTGAAATATTTCCCCACCAATACTGTTTTGTAAACGTGTAAGTTCATTAGTTGCCCAATGAGTCGTCTGACGTGTTCATAGATTCTGGTAACACTGGCTCATGGGGTGCTGGGGACAGAGTGTCTTTAATAACATCATTTACATCCTTTTTGGGAAAATTATCTTAGCTGTAAGGTTTTTGGTCTCAGTGAAACTCAAGGCAGCGGCTTTTGCTGTGGAATCAACCAAGTTTTTCTTTAGCCTCATCTGACTCCAATTTTGAATACCCAGAAATTTTGATTATGGCCAGAGGGAAGCCAAATTGAATTTAATAAACTATTGACAAAAGTGTCATTTTTAATTTGGTTCCCTCTGGAGGTTAAAAAGTCTGTTTCCAAAGCACACCAAACTCACGAACAACCCGAACGAGGGGCAGGAGGAGCCCTGGGCCCAGGACTCCACCTTTCAGTGCTTTATCAGCCTCTGTGAGTTCAGGCGCTGTGTTTTGGAGAGAGGCAATGTTAGAGTTCTGATGGCATCCAGCCAGATGCCTCCAAATGCCAATTAAAACAAGCACCCCATCTGGACGTGTATATTTTAATACATAGCCACGGGCCGTTCTCTCGCTTCTGGAGGAGCTGCACCCAACGCTCCTCGCGCTCAGTATCTTTCCATGAGCACGCCCCCTTCCTAGGGCTCTGTGGCTTCCCACATGCTAAGACCCTTGTTTTGGAACCAAGTTCTTCTAATTTAGTTCAGAGAAAACCTAGGTTGGTGTAGCAAAGGAACCCCAGTTTGGCCAATGTAAAAAGGTCCATTGCTCCAGATAAACGGGGCTGGAGTCCAGAGGGGGCACAACTGTTACGAGGTTTAGACGCACAGAGTCCCATACTTAAGATAATAATACTCACCATTGGGAAAATCTCCAGTAAGCAGGGAAAACGTCCTCCAAGCTGAAAGCCTTTGCCGGCACAGAGGCAGCAACTGCCCCCAGATTCCCAAATAAAGGTATCAGCCTCAGTTGAAGGGAGGTGCTGGCCCCAAAGAAGGGGCGCGCACAGGGGCCTCTGTGTTGTGGGGACTTCACCCGATTCCAGAGAAAGCCGCTCAAAGGAGAGATCTTGCTAAGCCCTGCTCCTGACACCAGCTGTGTTCACGAAGAAAAGATTGACACGGAGGTAGAATGAATGACTGCTTATTTGGGAAACAAAGACTGCAGCTTGGGTACACTGAGTCAGCCCTGAGCAGTGTCCTGAAGGCAAGCGCTGGGAAGGCTTTTATAGGGGGTTCCACAAAGGTTGTTTCTGGAGGCCGTTCATTGGCTGGGCAGAAACCCTTAATTACAAACCCGTGCTGATTGTCAGTTGGTGAGGATGCTCCCCGTGGGATGTGACTTCAGCTGTGTGTCCGAGCCTCTGGGCAGGTCCTGTGGACTGGCCGTTAGCAGGTGTGAGTCCAGTCCCCCCGCGGCCGCCCAGCTCACCTCAGAAAGCCTCAGTGATTTCCTTTTGTCTCTCAGTACAAATGATGTCCGGCTGTGCGCAATCGTCAGGAGGCATTTGAGAAACCGGCCAGCACGGACGGGGCGTTAATCATTAGCACGTGCAGCTCAGGGCCCTCCAGCGGCTCCTCATCACCCGGAGGACCCATGTCTCTGGAACACAGCTCAACCTTGCGGGAACAGGACCACCGGCCAGTGTGTGCAGACTGTGTGCAGAAGGTGCTTTTGACACTTAGTTTTGCTATCTAGAAACAGAATGAATAAATGATCTTTTACTTTTCTGCAAGAGGTAAAAAAAAATTGTTTCATTCTTCTTGGGGGTGGGGTCGGGCCAGCTTTGGTCTGTTGAGCTCAGGGGCCGGTGGGACCTGGCCGCGTGGGCAGAGTGAGGCCAGCAGGTGGATGACCCAGGACCGCGGGAGGGGTGGGCCCGGGAAGACCGTGGAGAGGGCCCTGGGTGTGCAGCTGCCCCACCTGCCCGTCCTTTGCTGACTGCAAATCTCCCGCCTGCCTCACGGCTCCCTCCTGTCTGAGATGGCAGAAGGTTCTAGAGTCTCAGAGAAGGCCTTGTCATTGCTGCACATCTGGGTTCTTTCAGGACCGATTGAGGCTTTCCCACAGCTATTGAAACGAAGAAAGGCATCCCGTGGTGCCTGAGACAACAGCCGTGGAGGCTGCTCTGATCCCGCGGGAAGCGCGTGGGCGGCCTCGGCTGTTCCAGGTGGAGCTGCGCCCTTCGCAAACAGCCGGCTTTGCGGACCCTGCAGCCGCCCCACGTGCCCCCGCGGTTTCCCACGAGGACCTGCAGAGGCCGAGGATGGCTCCTGCGCCGGCCAGCATGAGGATCTCATGGGCACTGCGGACTTGTGCTCCTTGGTTCTGGGCGCGGCGCCCTCTCACCTGGTCTATAACCTGCCCTGTGGCTGCAGGCTGGGGTCGGAGGCAGGTTCCCACTCTACAAAGGTGTCAACACCAGCCGGCACATGGGGGTGGGGCAGGGAGCTTTGCAGGCGTGACAACGTGGTCCCCAGATGGTGGTCCAGGGCCAGGACCCCCGGCTCCCCTGTCCCAGGACAGGGCTTTCCCCCAAGACCACAGTGGACCTGAGGCTGTGTGAGCAAGGCTCCCGCGGGCTCTGCGGTCTGTGGCGGCCCAGAGGCACTCGGCAGGGTTCCCCTGGCTGCCCTGGGGCTGCCGAACTGCTCCGGATGGAGGGGAGGTTCTAAGAGACGGTGGGTCAGGGAGAGAGTCCAGCGTCTCACTGTGGAGATGAGGCCCGGGAATGGGGGCAGCTGTGTCTCCTCAACTGTAGCTTCACGTCGGGTTGGTGTCGCTTTGAGGCTCCTGTCTCAGCTGTGCCCCTGCCACACGCTGTCCCTGCCCAGGCCCCTGAGCCCGGCTGCAAGGGCTCTGCTCCCACCCGGCAGGCAGCTGTGCAGGGCAGGGAGGGCGTGTGTGGAATTGTCTTTGAAGCTGGGCTTTGTCCCCTGCTTCTAGCAAGGAATGTGTCTGCAGAGATTATTTTCTTACGATAATCAGTCTGATGCTCTCAGAGCCCAGCCAGGCCTCCGGAGATCTGTGCAGGGCAGATAACCTTTCCTAGAGCTGAAGGGGAAAGAAAGCCACAGCTCTGTGGCTTCGTTACAGCTACAGACTCTCATGGTCACTGGCTTCCTGTGAAGCTGGAGCTTCTGCCACGTTGGCCTGTCAGCCGTGCAGCATCTGGGGGTCCCCCTGTCCCCGGGACGGTGAAGGACGAGGGCTCATGCTCCGGGGTTTCTCCTACTTGGTGGAGGGGGAACGGGAGGGTCAGATCTCACAGCCACTGTCCCGACCTGGAGCCACAAGGACCTGGAGGGGCCCCATGAGGACACGGCCAGGGCCTCCCTGGAGGGGCAGGAGGCCCACGCTCCCAGGTTGCCGGATGAGGCTGGGGTGCCAGGGAGGTGGAGTGGCTCCTGCATCACCCAGCGGTGCGGCCGCAGCACAGGCCAGGCCCAGGCTTCAGGCTCCACAGCCCTTCCTTCAGTTCCCCAGCCCGGGGGCAGCTCTGGTCAGCAGCTGCGCACCTGCTGTGCGCCACCAACCACAGACTCCTCCCCTGCCAGCCAGAGTCAGGGCTGCAGGGAGCCCCTCGGGAGCAGGGGACAGTGTGGAGGGAGAGGGGGATGGGCACAATCAGGGCATCCAGGCCTAAGCAGCCCCCGACCCAGCAGAGCCCCCATCAAGAATTACAGGTGCCCTCACCACAGGCTCTGATGTCCCCAGCCAAGCGCGGGGTGAGGGGAGGCTCTGAGCCTGGTGGGACTGCCAGGCCCCCTGCTCCACCTCGGGGCGGCACCCTGCAGACAGGACCTGCCACGCCTCTGTCCCTGCCATCTTTAGTCACTCCCCTCCATCCAGGCAGCAAGGACCACGTGAGATTCGTCCTGCCGAGAGAGGGCCTGGTACCTAGGAAGCTCATGGGGCTTCCACGGCTGCCCCTCCCGTGAGGCGCCAGAACTGCCCCGGCCGCCACAGGCAGCACTGGGCCCTTCCGTCCTGCAGCCCTGGACTCCCCCGTTCTCTTGGAGTCAGGGCCACTTACTTGGTGCTTCCCACCATCCGTGCCAGACCCCTCAACATGGCTCTCCCCGTGGCACCAGGAGGCCTCCCGGGTCAGCACCTCTGGGCCCTGCCCACGAAGCTGTGCCACCTCCTGAGGCACCTGCCACCCACCCACAACCACCCCAGCACGTTTTCAGCCGCAAGAGAACAAAAGCCTGACCCAAGTTGGCTTTGAAGTTCAAGAGCACAACTTCCACCACTCAAAAGGCAGTGGGTGAGGTGGCCTCAGGCACGGCTGGATCCAGGGACACAGGCGGCACTGCTGGGATCGGCTCCGGGTGTGTGTGGGGGGCACTGCTGGGATCCGCTCCGGGTGTGTGTGGGGGGCACTGCTGGGATCCGCTCTGGGTGTGTGTGGGGGGCACTGCTGGGATCCGCTCCGGGTGTGTGTGGGGGGGCACTGCTGGGATCTCCTCCAGGCTCCTCTGCCACGGTGACAAGAGGGATGCCCCCACAGCAACAGCCACGTCCTCCCACTCCCACCCCCAAGCCTGGCAGGTGGAAGAGCCCAGCAGGAGTCACGCCTGACCCCACACAATCACGTGGCCCAGAGACACGTGGCCACGGCTGCCACCTGTGGGTGGAGTTACCACCCAGGCAGGCAGGAGAGCTGGGCTGGGAGGCGGGGCCCTGGCCAGCTGTGGTTGCAGCTGCTCTCCTGAAGCAGGTGACGCCGCACCTTCGGCTCCATCAGGTGGGGGATCCTGGAAGCCCGTTCACACCCTGCCCCAAATACACTTGTGCAGTGCATGGAATTTTGGAAACTTCGGGACAAAAGCCACGTCTTCCGCCCTGTCTCCTTCCGAGATCGATTTAGTTTTCATTTCACTCTCTCTGCTACTGTGTCTCCTACAGTCAATGGAGCCTCCAAACTGAGGAAACAGCCTCCCCCATTCTCACCCGCCCCCCATCCACCCAAACGCCGAGCACATCCCCTCGGGTACTGAGTCCTATTGCCCCCAAAACCAGAGCTCCTGGCCCCGCCCAGGACCCTCTTCCGTGTCTCTTTCTGTCTCTGTTTCCCCCTTCTGCTCTGTTTGTCTCTGTGCCTCTCCCCTCAGTCACTGTCTCTTTGAGTCTCTCTGTCTCTCCCTCTCTCCCCATCACTCCTTCTCTGTCCCTCTATCTCTCCCCATGTTTCTCTGTCTCTCCCTCTATGTCTCTCCCTCTGTGTCTCCCTGTCTCTGTGTTTCTCCCCCATCTCTCCCTTTCTTTCTCCCTCTCTCTGTGTCTCCCTCTCTCTCCTGCACTCAGGGAAGAACACAGGCAGCACAAGAAAGGGTCGACCCACCCAAGCCCCCAGGCTCCCTCTGCTTTCACAAGGTGGCCCTGCCTGTCCCCTAGCTCCGGGCCGCCAGGCTCCTCCCTGGCCCTCCGACCTGCCTGCCTCTGTTCACCCTTCCCTGGGTTCCCTCAGCAAGTGGCTTCTTCTGTCTGCTTTGTGTTTCTACTCGTGAGCAGCAGAAATTTTTCCCGCAACGCGGCCAAAGAGAAAGACATTTAATGAAACTAAACTTCGTCTCTATGCGTGGCCTCCTGCTCACATCGTGTTGGCGCCGTGTCTCAACTCCCCGGCTGCGTCTGCTTTCTCAGGCACGAGGCTGTGCTGACCCCTGGGAATCGCATTCAAGGGGCTCCAGCCTCGTGCCTCATCACTCACCTAAAGGCCTAACACCAGCTCACTGGGGTGTAAGATTTCAACACGTGAATTCTGGGGGACACCGACACTCGGACCGCAGCAGCCCCAAGGACTGTGGGCCCAGGAGGTTACAACAAATCTTCACCAGATGTTCTGGGGAGGGAGGAAGGTGCATGGGGTGGGGAGGCTAACAAAGGGCTGTGTGGGGTTGGGGTCCTGGGGGCCAGGTGGGCACCGTGGGGCCCAGCAGCAGCGAGCAACCCCTCGAGCACTCACCTCAACGTTCTCTACCAGACCGGGGACGCCACCAGACCGGGGACGCCACCAGACCGGGGGCTCCACCAGACCAGAGGCTCATCCAGACCGGGGGCTCCACCAGACCGGGGGGCTCCACCAGACCGGGGGGCTCCACCAGACCGGGGGCTCCACCAGACCGGGGGGCTCCACCAGACCGGGGGCTCATCCAGACCGGGGGCTGCACCAGACCGGGGGCTCCACCAGACCAGAGGCTCATCCAGACTGGGGGCTCCACCAGACCAGAGGCTCATCCAGACCGGGGGGCTCCACCAGACCGGGGGGCTCCACCAGACCGGGGGGTCATCCAGACCGGGGACTCCACCAGACTGGGGATGCTTCTTGGGCCCCCACCACGGCAGGGAGAAGCTGGGCCCATAAAGTGCATTTTGCAAGTAGAGCCCTGAGCCCAGCCCGCCTGGAACCTTGACCCAGAGGACTGTGGAAGACAATTAAATGAGTGGTTGTTTATGCCATTAAGTTTGAGGGTGATTTGTTCTGAAGCAGCAGCTAATTGGGACACCTCAGGTTATAAAAACGAGAAGCAGGAACTGCTCGGGACCTTGGCGCCCGACACCTCCTGAGGGATTCAAGCCGAGTCACTCATCCCCAGATCCACTTCCAGCAGCACATGAAGCCAGGCTTCCCCTGCACCGATCACCCTCCTGTTTTCAGAAGTGCACGCCCTGCTCCTGGCAGGAATACCCACTTCCTATCTGCGAGTCTCCGGCCCCAGCCAGGAGATCAGCACAGGCACCCAGCTGTCAGAGCAGGAGCCTGGAAGGGCAGGGAACAGGGGTGCTCAGCCACAGAACCAAGACATAGCCCCAGGAGAGCACAGAGTCATCAGGGACAAACTGCTGTGAGTCACTCAGGGCGGCTGTGAGAAAACACCACAGCCTGGGGGCTTCAGCACCAACACGGAGGGATTCTCCTGGAGGCTGGCTCCGAGGTCAAGGAGGGGCAGGGCTGCTTCCTGAGATGGTCCTGGACTCACAGACGCTGTCTCCTCCCTGTGTCCTCACGGTGCCATCCCTCTGCGTGTGTCTATATCCTCACCCCCTCCTCTTACAGGGACACCAGGCAGACTGGGTCCCAGCCACCCTGCTGATGTCCTTTGCCTTAAACATTTATCTATTAAGGTATCTGGGGCACTGCAAGGTTACGTATTGAAGGTGTACAATTTAATGACTTAAGGCCTCCGTTTTAACTCAATCCCCATTTTTAAGCCCCTATTTCCTTTTAAGACCTAAGTCACATTCTGAGGTTCTAGGGGTTAGAGCTTCAACATATGAATTTTGGGGGACACAGTTCTGCCCCGACACCCCTCCCATTGCACACACCGCTTCCACCTCAAGAAGAGGCCAGGGCAGGGCTGAGTCAGTTTAGGGTGGATTCGATGTCCTGCTCCTCAAGGCGGAGGGCAGACCCCCAGCCCACCCAGCCTCCCAGCCCCCAGTGTGGCAAGCAAGGCACGTGTGAGGCAGAGCCTGGACCTGCACGGAGGAGTGTGAGGGAGGCCATGGCGGGTCCAGAGGGGACCCCAAAGATGATGAAGGGAGATGTTTCCAGACCCCCCACTGCTGGGGCCATCTCCTCCCTGCACTCCAGCCCTCTGCCACGGAGTCTTCAGGGAGCGGGGGGCAGCCCAAGCGGGCCTGGGAGTTCAGTGACCCGGCCCCGACAAGCGGGAATGACAGGAGTGAATGGAGGGGCTCACATTTTGGGGGCGCCGTGGAGCCGTGCCTCTCTGCGGGACCATGCGTTCCAGACCCATCAGCCATTACGGCCACCTCTCGCTCCTATGGAAAGGCCTTTTCAGGACACACCAGAGCAGCTTCACGGCCCCGGGTTCACTGCCCTCAGGGTGGCCATGTGAGTGGTACGGAGAGCGGACAGCCCTGGGCCCGCAAGAGGCTGCAAGGCTATCGGCCCCTCCCCTCCCCCCACTGCCAACACGTCCCCACCCGTCACTTTCTAGAAAGGCTTGCACGAACACACATGCTTGCTGACTCCTGAGAAAGGCCGCAATGCTACAGCATGTGAGCTGGTCTGCAGAGAATGCCCCTCAGGAGAACGGGCACATGCCACCTGCGCCAGGAGGCAGATGCCACGGTCTCCTGAGCCACCACGTGGCCAGCAGTAGGCCCAGGCTTGGGGTCTGAGTGTGAGTGGGGCCTGCCTCTGCCCTCCCAGGCCCGTCTCCTCAGGGAACATGGAGGATGAATAAACAGGCACATAAGTGGCCACAGGGACAGGGACAGTGAGACCACATCAGGGAAAGCTGTAGAACAAGTGACGTTCTGCATGCAGGGAGCGGGCAGGAGACACACCACGGTGCACAGGCCTAGCAGAAGCTGGAAAGCAGACAGAGAAGATGAACAGGAAGGCTGGGCCACTGTGTCGAGTCCTTCAAATGTCGGCGGCAATGCAGTTCTCTAATCCTGAGGAGGTGGGCCAGGAACACCCCTTCCAGAATACAGCAGAAGAGATGGGGGAGGAGGCCTCCCAACAGACAGCCTCTAAAACCCGAAAATGCCCAATAACATCACATTTGAAAATCTTTTTGGGGAGAAGGTAACTTGAATCCCAAAAGGCCTGAGGCCATGGAGAAGCGTGAGTCCACCTGGGCACAGCACCGTCTGTACAGGTCCTGTTGATCCCTGCTGTCCAGGATCCTGAACATTAATGAGCCCCAGGCAAGCACAGAGATGAAGCCTGGGGCCTGTGTGAGGCAGGAACCCAGAGCAGAAGCCCTGCAGGAAGCCAGGAGCCCAAAAGAAGGGCCCTCAAGAGTGAGCCAGGGAAACCCGCCAGTCACGGGGAAGTGGCAGGGACGCTTGCTGCGTGAGCCTCGGCTCTGAAAAGAGGAGCAAATAAGAGAAAAAGTCTCGAGAATTTCTACCACTGCCATCCTCAAGTGGGTTCAAGGTTTAAAGCATCCACACCCACAAAATGTACTTCCAAGTGGGCTGCTCGGGTCCTGGCAAAGGCAGGCACAAAGCCTCTGCAGGGATCCACCCTCGGATGCCTGAGAGTCCCATGCATGCAAATGTGATTTCACAACACAGAGGCACCACACGCACCAGGAAGCCGGCCACCATGGGTAAGTCAGCAGAAACAACCAAATGTACAATCAGACTCATCACAATGCAAATAGTGGAATAATCCAAGGCAGAGTATACAGTAATGACGGCTAACATATTTACAGAAATAAGAGAGGGTACTGAAGTGTGACAAAGGAACAAGATGTTATCAAAAATGAAATACAATTAGAAATTAAAATATCATTGAAATTAGAAACATGAATAGCAAATTTGACACACTTGAAAGATAATTCATGAACCGAATGATAAATCTGATAATGTTACACAGAATGCAGCCAAGAAAGCTAAAGAGATAGAAAATCAAAGAAATATGAAAGGACACAGAAGAGAGAATGTACAGGCTTCATCTTTATGTAAAGAATATTCTAGAAAGAGACAATAAAGCATGCAGGAGAGGTCACATTCAAGGAGATGTCAGGTGAGGATTTTCCAGACATAAATCCTCACATTCAGAAGGCCCAGTGAATCCCAACAGGCTAAATCAAAAGAAACCCACATTTGGAGAGTGATGGTGAACCTGCAGAAAACAAAGACAGAGGATGCTGAGTCCCAGGAGAGAAAAGGCAGATGACCCATAAAAGAGCAGCAACAAGGCTGAGAGCCAGCTTCCTTACCACACTGGGTGCCGGGAGGCGCCAGTAATATCTCAAAGCACTTGGGGAAAATACTCTCAATCTAGACTTCTGTTATCTGCAAAACTATCTTTCAAAATTAAGAGGAAAATACAGATTACTTCCAGACAAAGAAAAACCAACACGGTTTACCATAAACACATCTCAGTAAAGGACCTTTGAAGATGAAAAATAATCCCAGAAGGAAAGTTGAAGACACAAAAAGAGATACTGAAGCAAGGGAACCATAAACATGAATAAAGTTAAACTCACTGTGTTAATAATCCTAACACCAGTAACAGCAATAGCCCTGCTTGCTGGGGTGAGAAAAACAAGGTACAGCAAACTACCTTGAGTAGTTTATGAGCAAACTACGTGAGTTTCAGAAACTCTGGATGTTTGAGAAGAATGAAAAGAGACTGAAGACACTGAATAGCCTTAGGCTTTTTTTTTTTTTTTTAAGAGATGGGGTCTCGCTCTGTTGCCCAGGCTGCAGTGCAGTGGCATGATCGTAGCTCACCATAGCCTGGAATTCTTGGGCCCAAGCAATCCTCCCACCTCAGCCTCCTGAGTAGCTAGGACTACGGGTACATGCCACCACACTCAGCTAGGTTTTTTTCCCCCCTCCATATTTTGTAGAGACAGGGTCTCACTATGTTGCCCAGGCTGGTCTCGAAATCCTGGCTTCAAGTGATCCCCTCACCTCAGCCGCCCAAGGTGCTAGGATTACAGGCGTGCAGCATTGCTCCTGCCACTTTAGACTCTAAGATAAACAGTAGATTAAAGTTTTGAGATTCCCCACCAAAACAACAGGAATAGAGAATATAATTCTCAAAGTAGTGTGAAGGAGTGAAAGTGGGATAAGCAGAAAGAATGAATCAACCAAAAGAAGGGGTAAGAAAGGAGAAAAAAACAACAAAAGGATAAATTAGAAAACACAATATAGAGAGGTATAAACAATCCAAATATATCAGAAATCACAATAAATCTAAATAGATACAACTTCTGATCAAAGGCACAATTATGAGATTGGGTTTTTGAAGCTGAGTTATGTGCTGCTTACGGGAGACTCACCGCACAGCCACCGCCAGGGGTGACGAACAGGCGGGCAGGTCCTGCCCTACTGCGGACTGTACGGTTCAACTCAGCATGGGGACTTGAGGATTTTTCAGGCAGGGGCTCCTCATGGCCTCCACAGTGAAGGAGACAATGAAAGTTATCATGTAACTCTGGGGGCGGTGCTTGGATTGTTACAAACCGAAAGGACTGAAACAAGTTTCTGAGGGTGATGACTGGGTTCTCTGCTTGGAGCCTCACCAGGCCAAAGGCAAGGCGATGCCCAGCCTGAGGTCTTGCCTGAGGGTGCTGGGGAGGCAGCAGCGACTGGGCTCCCTCAGGTTCTTGGCAGAAGCCAGCTCCTTCTATGCCAGCAGCAGCAGCAGCCAGTCTCCCTCATGCTTCGAGTCCCCGCCTTCCCCTCCTGCCCCCTCTCCTGCTGTCAGGGACTCACATCGCCCAGAGGATCCAGGCTCATCTACTTTAAGGTCAGCTGATTAGGAATCTTAATGACATTGGCGCAGGTCCCTCTTGCCAAGCAACGCAGCATTTTCACGGGCGACCTCACTTCTGGGACGGCGTTTGCCGAGGCTGGAATTCTGCTGCCCACACCTGGGAATAGAGCTGGTGGCCCTCCCTCTCAGATTTCCCAAGGGACAGAGCTGGAGGTGAGCAGAGGTCAGATTCAATTCCAGAAAGGGAGCTTTATTAACCCTTTACTCACAGAGATCAATGAACCAGTGGGGTTTTTGGTTCTAAATATGCAGAAAAATATCATTTCCAAGTATAGTTCCTCTCCTTTTATCACCAAACTGCCCTCTCCTGCATTTATTCTGACATTGGGAGTTAGGCTGAGTCAGGAAGCAAAGGCTGCAGGCGGTGGCGCAGGTGAGCCCGGCACTGCAGGACAGCTTTGTCCTTCTCTCTGTTGTAGGTATTCATCTGTACCAAGAGGAAAAGTGACTCCTAAGACCTCACTGTCAGGTGTCCTTAATCAATCGATTTTCTGATATTCATCGATAGCTCATTGATCAGTAGCACAGAGTCCTAACACAATTGGATAAAGCCAAAGCACCGGCTCTGGCTTTAGCCCAGCTGACGTGAATCCACGCTCAGCCCTATGCCCCTGTGTGATTTGGGGCTACTTGCTTCTCTAACCCCAGTTTCCAAAGCTGTAAAATAAAATAGGGCTATTCCGTGGGTTGTCATACAGATTATGTGTGAAAATTCATGTTAAATGCTTACTATGGTGCCCGGAACATTAAGAGTTCAGTAGATGTCAGCTACTGAGTATTATTACTAAAAATAACACATCTTCTGAAATTACAGCTTTTTAAACAAGTCAACTATGGCAAAAATAAGTATCGGGCTGATGAGTGATGTTTTCTGCTCAGCGTCATACAGATTTTCTTTCTTTCTTTTATAAGATCCATAACTTCTTTGCATTAGGGGTGTGGTTTTGGTTTACAAAATTCTGGACAGCCTGAAACTCCTGATTCTCTTGAACCACCTTGAACACAACCTTTTTTCAAACAATCCTTTAAACATTTTTGTGAGTTTTGGTAACACAGAGCAAAAGTCATAAAGATGTGTCTGTGCTTTGACCCAGTAATCCTACTCCTGGGGATGCAGCTTAAGAACAAGAATCTCACCTGAAACAAAACCACCATGGAGATGTTCATTATGACATCACTTAAACGAAAAAACAACTATTTGACTAAATGTGCAATAATGGAGATGTTTTAGTAAATTACTGTACCTCTCCTAAATATACAACTAGGCAGTATTGAAAAGTATAATAAAGTTAGGCATGTAGAAAGGTATATCGACTTGAAGTGAAAGGGAGAACATTAAAATAACACAAATAACACTTTTTTTTTTTTGAGATGGAGTTTTGCTCTTGTTGCCCAGGCTGGAGTGCAATGGCACGATCTTGGCTCACTACAACCTCCGCCTCCCGGATTCAAGCATTTCTCCTGCCTCAGCCTCCTGAGTAGCTGGAATTACAGGCATGCACCACCATGCCTGGCTAATTTTGTATTTTTAGTAGAGACGGGGTTTCTCCATGTTGGTCAGGCTGGTCTCGAACTCCTGACCTCAGGTGATCCACCTGCCTCGGCCTCCCAAAGTGGTGGGATTACAGGCGTGAGCCACCGTGCCTGGCCACAAATAACACTTGTATAACCATTCGATGACTCCATGGAATGCAAGGCGTGTGCAAACCTACACCAGTGTCATGTGGGTGGGTTACAGAGGGCTGCCTTATATTTAGGCTTATCTTTAATATTTCTGGTTGCTTGCTTCAAGAAATTTAAAGAATACTTTCTGATGATTACATTGCCATTGGCATCTGTCATGATGTATCCATGAGATAAGACTGCTCTGAGCACTGAGCAGTTGGTTGAGTTGGAGACGCCCTCTAAAGCCGTACACAGTTAGGACTCACTCCGCATGACCCCAAGAGTTCATCTGCAGATGTGTGTGGGCACAAGGTGCCTCCCCTATGCTCCCAGCAGCCCCCTCGATCATCTTCTCCCCACGCGGAACAGAAGACAACTCCGGAAAGGTGAATTGGCAATGTCTGCCTTAAAAAAAGCAGGAAGGCAAAAAACGCTGTCAGGCCCCACAGCATCACAGAATTAACTTCCACAGCGGAGAGAAGTCAGCTGGGGCCGGCTGAGGCTGTCCTCTCCACCCCATTACCCTCACCATTAATGGGGAGGATTCAGACTAAACTGCACATCCAAAGTTTCTGTAGATAACCCATTTCTGCTTGAAGCAGATTCCCCTGCCATTAATTCAGGGAGGGTTCACAGCGTGCTGCAGTTACTTTGCTTTGTGAGTTAATGTCCCATAAGCTCAAACTTGTCACCAGGCTAGACACAGAGGATGTTTACCTCGCCTTCTCGACTGGCTGTCCTAAAACACCTGCTCCTGTGGGTGCTGGTGGCTGTTAAGGGTCATTGGGTTGGGGGGCTGAGGAGGCGCTGCTTGCCCCATTTTTCTCCCCCGTCTGCCCCTCCCACACCCTCTTATGGCCACACCAGAATGTCATGCTGCTCTACCAAGACCTGAGGCTCTTCGTGTGGGGAAGGGCACACAATCTGGCTTCTGCTCCCTCAGCTCACGTCCGTGGGAGATGGACTCCATGGTCACACATGACGTCAGGTCAGATGAGCCCCTTGTTTCAGGAATTCTTAGAGCCAGTGGGGGCATTACGACTGTAATGTGCAGACAGAATTCTTTTCTCCTACTGAACAATGACCAATCTTTTACAGTATTAGTGACAGCATCACAATGAAGAGGACGTCTCTGCACACCTACAAGGCTGGCTGTCCAGGAACCCAGTTCCATACCTCGTATCACTCCTGTGGGGGTTTTGAGGTTCTGCCCTGGAAGGACTTGGGGTACTGACCTTGGACTTGGGGTGTCAGAGGGTTGAAATCCAGCAGGGCTCTGATACCCTTGCCTGGAAACAAGTCTGAACCCGCTACCCAAACCAGCTTCCCACTGCCTCCCCACAGCTGAACTTATCCACCCCAGGGGCCTCCCCACCCCATAGGAGCAGAGCCTCTTACCACCACTAGCCCTTAGGCGCAGAGCCCTTCACCCCCACCCCATAGGCACAGAGCCCCTCACCCCTCACCCCCACCCCATAGGCACAGAGCCCCCCACCCCTCACCCCCACCCCATAGGCACAGAGCCCCTCACCCCTCACCCCCACCCCATAGGCACAGAGCCCCCCACCCCTCATCCCCACCCCATAGGCACAGAGCCCCCCACCCCTCACCCCCACCCCATAGGCACAGAGCCCCTCACCCCCTGACCCTCACTCCATAGGCACAGAGCCCCTCACCCCCACCCCATAGGAGCAGAGCCTCTTACCTCCACCACTAGCCCTTGACCTGCACCCAGAGCTTCACATGACTTTACCCTGAGCTGCCAAGGGCCAGCGCTGGGGATGGAGATGGTGTACGGAGCTAGAGGAAAAAGGGTTGGAAACATAGCCAGTCCACCTTGTGATATCTTAACATCACCCAGAAACCTGTGACTTGTAATGACACTGAGAACTCAATTCAGAAGGTGTCGTGGCCCAGAAATGCACAGGGGCCAGTGCATAACTGGGCCATCTTAGACCCTGTGTCAGCAGACATCTCGTGTGCCTGCTGGTCTCCCTGGCTCTGCTGTGGTGTGGGCCAAGCAGCCACTCAGGTTCCTGCTGACCTGCCTCGACCAACTCAGTGCAGCCAGGCAGACCAGCCACATGCTCCACCTGCCACTTCTGTGTCCTCATGAGATGCCACTCTGCAGCATGGGGATGTGGTACCCAGAGCAGCTGCTGAGGAGGCTGGGAATGCAACCCAGGGCCCCTGATTCCCTGCGGGGACAGCTCTGACCAGTGGAAAGTAGCCGCCAGAAGAGAGCCAGAAGATACATTCCGTTCCCCTCCTGTGGAATCCCTGGAGCCATCTTCCCATGCAGCTGACCCAGAGGCATCTGCCGAGCCAGGTCACTTCAGCCCCTTATGAAACAGCAGCCAGCACAGTTGAGACTCACATCGCATCACTGCAGGGAGGTCCTTCCTTGCCTCAATCTCTCGCACCTCACTCTCACAGTCCTGGGTTTACACTTCCCAAATAAAGCCCCAATGCTTTACATCCTTGCCTCAGGCTCTGTTTTCTAGGTTAAGACAGATCCAAACCAAAAGGACATAGAAAGTGAAGAATAGCCTTGGGGATTATAATTCTTATACTATTGCAGATAAGATGCCCTGAACAACCCTCCTGAATAAAGTAAATAGTTGAATTCAAAGAAACTTATAAAACATACCACAGATCATTCATGAAAGCAAATAAACCACAAGGAACAAAGAGAGGGAAATCAAGAACCCCAGGAGACAAGCCATGCCAAATCCAACTTTCAAATCCAGGTTTTCTACAGAACCCTGCAAACACTGAGCAAGTCTGACAATGATAGAGGGCTGAGAGGAGAGGAAATAAGCCTGAGGATCTTCCCAAGGTGGGAAAAATAGAAGAGGACCCTTTGTACAGCAGAAACTTCAAACTGTAAATGAAAAATTTCATGCAATTGTACATAGACATGCAGGAAATGTTCCTGTCTCAGCCCTAACATTAAACTGATAAGAAAAGATACTCCACTTGATCTTAGCCAAAAGGCCAAGATACAGTTCAGCAGTAACATTGAGGAAGGAGAAAAAAATACCCCAAGAATTTATAAACTCAAGGCAGACCTCAATGAAGTTGATGATCCAAATTCAGTCTAACTTTGTGTGGTCCAAATTTTAAGTTGATTTATTTACAAAAATAGTCCTATACTGGAGACACCTCTTCCCCCCTCCCATCAAGGTGACAAGTTGAAGGAAATACAAATCTTTCTGGGGAAAATTAAGTCAAAGACTCAAATAATTCCAACTAATATATTTACAAAGCAAATGAACAGTTCACAATCAAGAATAAGAACAAAGGAAACAAATTACTATAAAATTCGATGTCTGAACAACAGATTTAGACACAGACGAAGAGAGAAACAGTGAACTGGAAAACAGATCCAAAGAAATTACATCAGAATGCAGTCCAGAGAAACAAAGAGACAAAACACTTAAAAACAGTTGAAAAACCATGGATGATGGAAACAGAGAACCTAACATACATGTAAAAGAGTTTTTGAAGGAAATAATAGAAATAACACGAGAGGCAATATTTAAAGAGACAATGGCTGAGAATTTTTCAGATACCTTAAAGACACTGGATAGATTCTTCAAAGAGTCAGGAAGCCCAATACATCCAAAGGAGGAGAAATCAAGGAAACAGAAAATATTTTAAAATAGCCCTAAAGAAAAAAAAACAGATTATTTACAAAGGAATGACAATTAGATTGTTGACATCTCATTAGTATCACAGAAGCCAGAAAGTGGCATAATAATTACCTAAATGTTTATATCTCTTCCAAGACTGGAGAAATTTTCAGCTATTAGTTCATTGAATAAATTTTCTATGCCTTTCCCCATCTCTTCTCTTTCTGGAATTCCTAAAATTTGAATATTTGTTCACTTGGTGGTGTTCCATATGTCACACAGGATTTTTCTTTTTTTCTTTTGTTTTTTCTTTTTCTTTTTTTTTTTTTTTTTTTTGAGACGGAGTTTCACTCTTATTGCCCAGGCTGGAGTGCAATGGCACGATCTCGGCTCACCGCAACCTCCAACTCCTGGGTTCAAGCGATTCTTCTGCCTCAGCCTCCTGAGTAGCTGGAATTACAGGCATGCGCCATCACACCCGACTAATTTTGTATTTTTAGTAGAGACGGGGTTTCTTCATGTTGGTCAGGCTGGTCTCAAACTCCTGACCTCAGGTGATCCACCTGCCTTGGCCTCCCAAAGTGCTGAGATTATAGGCATGAGCCACTGCGCCTGGCCGTTATTTCTTTTTGAGATGGAGTTTTGCTTTTGTTGCCCAGGCTGGAGTGCAATGGTGCGATCTTGGCTCACTGCAACCTCCGCCTCCCGGGTTCAAGTGATTATCCTGCCTCAGCCTCCCGAGTAGCTGGGATTACAGGCATGTGCAACCATGCTGGCTAATTTTGTATTTTTAGTAGACTCTGGGTTTCTCCACGTTGGTCAGGCTGGTCTCAAACTCCCCACCTCAGGTGATCTGCCCGCCTCAGCCTCCCAAAGTGCTGGGATTACAGGTGTGAGCTACTGCACCCAGTCTTTTCATTGTTTTTTTTTTTTTTTTTTCAGTCTGACTGGGTTATTTCAAAAGCTTTGTCTTCGGCCAGGCATGGTGGCTCATGCCTGTAATCGCAGCACTTTGGGAGGTCAAGATGGGAGGATTGCTTGAGCCCAGGGGTTTGAGACTAGCCTTGGCAACATAGTGAGATGCCATCTCTACAAAAAGTTTAAAAACTAGCCACGTGTGGCAGGGCACGCCTGTAGTCCCAGCTGCTCAGGAGGCTGAGATGGGAGGATCACTTGAGCCTGGTAGGTTGAGGCTGCAGTGAGCTGTGACCATGCCATGCAGCCTGGGTGACAGAGCAAGATTCTGTCTCAAAAACAAAACAAAACAAACAAAAAGTGCTCGTTGCTCTGTCTTCAAATTCAGAAATTCTTTCTTCTGCTTGATATAATAGATTATTGAAGCTCTTGGTTGTATTTTTGGTTCACTGAATTCTTCAGTTGCAGGATTTCTGTTTGGTTCATTTTATGAAATGTATTTCTTTGTTGAATTTCTCATTCAGATCATCAATTGTTTTCCTGATTTCTTTGTTTTGTCTTTCTGTATATCTTGCTAAGACTTAAGATTATTATTTTGAAATTCTTTTCAGGCATTTCACAGATTTCCTTTTCTTTGGGGTCTGCTGCTGGAGAATTATTGTGTTCCTTTGAAGCTGCTGGAGAATTATTGTGTTCCTTTGAAGCTGTCATGTTTCCTTGCTTTTTCATGTTTCCTGTGTCCTTAGGTTGATAACTGTGCATCTGTTGTAACAGTCACTTCTACCAATTTTATGAAGTAGCTTTCTTAGGGAAATACTTTTCCTATAATTGTATCCATAGTGTCAGTTGGGTAGGGTACTTTGGCTTTAATTCTAAGTGGGTGCTGTAATGTAGTCTCTGTATGATTTCTGTGGCTGTAATCAACGTCAGTGGTATCTGCAAGTTCCTCGGTAGCTTAGGCTGTGGCTGTTTCTGGAGGCTGTGGTGATGCTTTGCTGGAGGCTGAAGTGCTGTGTAAGCTAGTCCTCATTACCCTGGGTGGCAGCATAGGCACTGGCTGTGGTGGCAGAAGGCCCTTTGCATACTGGTCATTGAACCCCTGGGCATCTTACATGGGTGTTGATGATACCAGTGATGGGCTAAGCAGGTGCACCCTCAGGCCCCCCGTGCTAGTGGTGGTGGCAGCAGGCAGGGCTGGCTAGCCCTTGGGCCTGTGGATGACATGTGCAGGCACAGGATTGTGGAAGACATTCTTGACTTACTCTTTTTTAGTATTTATTATTGTCCATTTTTCCAATATTTTGTTGGGGATTCCAATTATGTGTATGTTACATTTCCTTTGCCTGTCACCTCACAGTGTATGAGGGTTCTCTTCTTCACATCCCTGCCAGCATTCATTATTGCCTGCCTTTTGGATAAAAGCCATTTTAACTGAGGTGAAATGATATCTCATAGTTTTGACTTGCATTTACCTGATGAGCAATGATATTGAGTACCATTTCATATGCCTGTTTGCCATTTGTATGCCTTCTTTCGAGAAATATCTATTCAGATCTTTTGCCCATTTTTAAACTGGATTATTAGCTTTCCTATTGAGTTGTTTGACCCCTTTATATATTCTGGTTATTAATCCTTTGTCCAATGGATAGTTTGCAAATATTTTCTCCCTTTCTGTGGGTTGTCTCCTCACTTTGTTGATTGTATCCTTTGCTGTGCAGGAGATTTTTAACTTGATGTGATCCCATTTGTCCATTTTTGCTTTGGATGCGTGTGGTCGTGGGGTATTACTCAAAAAATTTTGCCCAGTCCAGTGTCCCGGAGAGTTCCTCAGTGTTTTCTTTTAGTAGTTTCATAGTTTTGAGATTTGTCTTTGTCTTTCATCCATATTGATTTGAGTTTTGTATATGGTGAGAGATAGGTGTCCAGTTTCATTCTTCTGTATAAGGATATCCAGTTTTTTCTCAGCACCACTTATTGAAGAGATTGTCCTTTCTTCCAATGTATATTCTTGTCACCTTTGTCAAAAATAAGTTTACTGTATGTAGATGGATGGATTTATTTCTGTGTTCACTATTTTTTTTTTTTTAGATGGAGTCTCACTCTGTTGCACCCAGGTTGGAGTGTAGTGGTGCCATCTTGGCTCACTGCAACCTCTGACTCCTAGGTTCAAGCGATTCTCCTGCCTCAGCCTCCCGAGTAGCTGAGATTACAGGCACCCACCCTCACACCTGGCTAATTTTTTGTATTTTTAGTAAAGACGGGGTTTCACCATGTTGGTCAGGCTAGTCTTGAACTCCTGGCCTCAGGTGATCCGCATGCCTTGGCCTCCCAAAGTGCTGGGATTAGAGGCATGAGCCACTGCAACCAGCCCTGGGTTCTCTATTCTGTCCCATTGGTGTGTGTCTGTTTTTATGCTGGTACCATGCTGGTTTGGTTACTACAGCTCTGCAGTGTAAGTTGAAATCAGGTAATGTGATTCCTCCAGTTTCATTTTTTTCTTAGGATAGCTTTGGCTATTTTGGGTCTTGTGTGTTTCCAGATAAATTTTAAGATTTTTTTTTCTATTTCTGTGAAGAATGTCACTGGTATTTTGAGAGGGATTGCATTTAGTGTGTAGACTGCTTTGGGTTGTATGGGCATTTTAACAATACTGGTTCTTCCAGTCTATGAACATGAAACATCATTCCATTTTTTTGTGTGTTCTCTTCAATTTCTTGCATTGATGTGTTATAGTCTTCACCATAGAGAACTTTCACTTCTTTGGTTAAGTTTCTTCCTATTTTATTTGTAGCTATTGTAAATGGAATTATTTTCTTGATTTCATTTCCAGATTGCTCACTGTTGGCATACACGAATGCTACTGACTGTTGTAGGTTGATTTTGTATCCTGCAACTTTGCTGAATTTATCAGTTCTAATACTTTTTCAGCACAGTCATTAGGTTTTTCCAAACATAAGATCATATCCTCTGCAAACAATGATAATTTGACTTTCTTTTCTAATCTGGATGCCCTTTATTTATTTCTCTTGTCTGATTGCTCTAGCTAGGCCTTCCAGTGCTATGTTGAATAACAGTGGTGAAAGGAGGCATCTTTGTCTTGTTTCAGATCTTAGAGGAGAGGCTTTCAGTTTTTCCCCGTCAGTATAATACCAGCTATGGGTCTGTTGTACATCGCTTTTATTTTTTATTTTTTCTAATCATAAAGGGATGTTGAATTTTATCAGATACTTTTTCAGCATCAATTGAAATGATCATATGGTTTTTGTTCTTATTCAGGAGCATATTGTTTAATTTCCATATGTTTGTATAGTTTCCAAAATTCCTCATTATTGATTTCTAGTTTTATTCCATTGTGGTCAGAGAAGATATTTTATATACTTTCATTTTTTTGGAATTTTTAAAGGCTTGTTTTGTGGCCTAACATACGGTCTTGAGAATGATCCACGTGCTGAGAAGGATGTGTATTCCACAGCCATTAAATAAAATATTCTGTAAACAGTTATTAGGTCCATTTGGTCTACAGTGCAGATTAAGTCCAATGTTTCTTTAGTGATTTTCTATCTGAATGGTCTGTCCAGTGCTGAAGGTGGGGTGTTAAGTCTCCAGCTATTATTGTATTGGGGTCTATCTCTCTCTTCAGTTCTAATAATATTTTATATATCTGGGTGCTTCAGTGTTGGGTGCATATGTACTTACAATTGTTATATCATCTTGCTGAATTAACCCCTTTATCATTATATAATTACCTACTTTTTCTCTTATTATAGTTTTTGTCTTGAAATTTATTTTGTTTGACGTAAGTATAGGGCCTCCTGCTCTTTTTTGGGTTTTCCATTTGCATGGAATATCTTTTTCCATAACTTTATTTTCAGCCACTGTGTGTCTTTATAGGTGAAGTGTGTTTCTTGCAGGCAACAGACTGGTGGGTCTTGTTTTTTAATCTTTTGTTGGAGAGTTTAGTTCATTTACTTTCACTGTTATTATTGATAAGTTAAAGACTTACTCTTGCCCTTTTATTATTTGTTTTCTGGTTGTTCTGTGCTCTCATCTTCCTTCTTTCCTTCCCTTCTGTCTTTCTTTTAGTGAAGGTGATTTTTTCTTGCGGTACGTTTTCAGTTCTTGCTTTTTATTTTTTGTGTATCTGTTGTATGTTTTTTGGTTTGAGGTTACCATGGGGCTTACAAATAATATCTTATAACTCATTATTTTAAACTGATGACAACTTAACACTGGTGCATAAACAAACAAGCAAAGAGAAAACGAATAAAAACTCTACATTTTACCTTCATCCTCCCACTTTTTAATGTTTTGATGTTTCTCTTTAAATCTTATTATACTGGCTGAGCACGGTGGCTCATGCCTGTAATCCCAGCACATTGGGTGGCCAAGGTGGGTGGATCACCTGAGGTCAGGAGTTTGAGACCATCCTTGTCAACATGGTGAAATTCCATCTCTACTAAAAATACAAAAAAAATTAGCCAGGCGTGGTGGTGGACACCTACTCAGGCGGCTGAGAAAAGATAATCACTTGAACCCGGGAGGTGGAGGTTGCAGTGAGCCAAGATTGCGCCACTGCACTCCAGCCTGGGCAACAAGAGCAAAACTCCATCTAAAAATCCTCTGTGCTATGCCTATTCACTCCTCCTGCTCTCAAATGCCTGACTCCTGCTAGTCTTTTTACTGTTTCCACAGTTTTGACTTTTTTCAAAATGTCATATAGTTGGAATCATACAATATATAGCCTTTTCAGATAGACTTATTTCACCTAGTAACATGCATTTAAGGTTCCTCTACATCTTTTCATTACTTGCTAGCTAATTTCTTTACAGCACTGACTGATATTCCATTGCCCAAATGTGCCACGTTTCATTTATCCATTCACTTACTGAAGGAAGGACATCTTGGTTGCTTCCAAGTTTGGCAATAATGAATAAAGCTGCTATAAACATCCGTGAGCAGGTTTTGTGTGGACCTAAGTTTTCAGCTTCTTTGGAGCGCAACTGCTGGACCATATGGTAAGATTATATTTAGTTTTGTAAGAAACTGTCAAACGGTCCTCCAAAGTGGCTGTACCATTCGCATTCCTACCAGCAATGAATGAGCGTTCCTGTTGCTCCACATCCTCACCAGCATTTGGTGTTGTCAGTGTTCTGGATTTTCGCCATTCTAATAGATGTGTAGTGGCATCTCATTCTTGTTTTAATTTGCACTTCCCTCATAAGATTTGGAGCATCTTTTCATATGCTTATTTGCCATCTGTATATCTTCTTGGGTGAGGAATCTCTTAAATTATTTTGCCCATTTAAAAAATCAGATCATTTTCTTATTGTTGAGCTTTAAGAGTCTTTATTGATTTTAGATAATGACCCTTTATAAGATGTGTCTTTTGCAAACATATTCTCCCAGTCTATGACCTGTCTTTTCAGCCTCTTGGCTTTATCTTTTGCAGAGCAGTTTTTAATTTTAATGAAGTCCAGCCTATTGTTTCCTTCATAGATGTTGCCTTTGGTGTTGTACCTAAAAAGTCATCACCAAACCCAAGCCATCTAGGTTTTCTCTAATGTCACTTTCTAGAAATTTTGTCGTTTGTAGTTTCTGTGATCTATTTAGAGTTAGCTGTTGTGAAGGGTTTATGATTTGTGTTTACATGCTTTTATTTTTTCATGTGAACATCGAGCGCCATTTGTTGAAAACACTATCTTTTGTCCATTTTATTGCCTTTGTACTTTTGGCAAACATCAGTTGACTATATTTATATGGGTCTACTTCTGGGCTCTCTATTCTGCTCCACTGAGCTATTTGTCTGGGAAACAAATAGCTTGCACTAGGCTAGACACTCCAGACCTCCTCATCTGCCATGGCCTCATTCCTGGGAGCCCCACCCCTTGATTCTCAGCAGTTTACATCCAGGGTGGAGAGGTGCTGGGTCACAGGGCCTGACAGCCATGTTCCTCTGGGTGGCAGTCACTCAGCACTTGCTTCTCACTGCCCAGCAGAGCAAACCCAGCTGCACATCGGTCTGACTACCACTTCTACTTTCACTGTACTTCCTTTATCCAGCCCAAACGCCATCCCAGCCAAGACTCAAAGTGTGAGTTCCATCTTGACACCCTGAAGACCAAGCAAGGGGTGGGTGGCCAGGCTTTACTGTCTTTGTTTTGCAGAGGAGGAGGCTGACTGAGGTATATGGGAGCAAAGCTTTAAGCCCAGGTACCTTGATCCCCAGACCAGGGCGCTTCCACTGTCACCCGTTTCTCCCTGAGAGGTACATGCACTGCAGGGTTCCTTGAGATAGCCCCTCCCTTCCCTCCAAATTGTCCCAGTGCCCTGAAGGTCTGCCCACTTTCAGGATTCCTGGGGCTGGATGGGTCTGAGAAGCCAGGCTTCTGTTATGATGTCACTGACCTCATGGTGCACGGCGTGCCCTGTGTGAATCCCAGGGCTCCAGCCCCACCCCTGCTTGCCTGGGCAAGGGCTTGACATGAGGGATGCACAAGGTCACCTGAACCACCAAGGAGCTGGGGTGGGAGAGCCTGCCCTGAGGCAGGGACAACAGGGTGGCCCCTCCTGGCTGCTGCCACACTCACTGGTCACTCCAGGCATGCGCCTGGTTTATAAGCAAATTATCCAGGGCATTTTTCTCTCCAGGGCCCAAACATATTTCTCTACTACTTAAACAGAGGTAAATTGAATCCACTTAAAAGTACCTGCAGCACAGTTCCCCCCACCTATTTTTTCCCTCGGTTTTGTCGCAGAAAGAGGAGGCACCAAGGAGGCAATCACAGCAAAACTGAGTGACAACACAATGAATTCTAAAACAGAGGCTTGTCCCTTCAATGATCAAATCAGATTTGTCCATGGCAATATTCATCTTCAATTTAAACACAGACAGGTCATCCTCAAGAGATTACTTCCGCCTCAATTCACACAGGACAGGTGATGGGAAGCGATAAGAAACTGTGTCATATCCCCAAATACACTGCATACTGACCCACAGATGGGTGAAAGGGGTGCGCAGCTCTCTGCTTGGCAAGTGACAATATTCAACGGACAGTCAGCATTTTTGCTCTAGAATAGCTACATATAAAGCAATTTGACACATGCCAGGAAGAGGCGATCTTCTGCTTATCCTTTCAACGATTTTTAAAAATAAACTACTTTATAGGATTACATAGCATGAACTGACGGTTTATGAGGGAAGTTCTAGAATAAATAACAATGTACTCATAAGAAATGGATTTTTTTTTCTTTTATAAAAGGTAAACACCCAAATGAGATGGGTTCGCTATCTCACCGGGACACCCAGGCATCCATGCTAAGCTGATTAGTTCCAGGCCAAAGGAGAAAAACAAATAATAGTTTGAAGGTCGCCCTCCTCTGATTTTGTGTAAAAAATATCCCGGCTCTGCATAAGCCCTTCTGTCCTCATTCTCCAGTTCAACTGCTTGAGGTTTGCTTTTCTGAGAAGAAATGTGTTCTCCATATAAATGAGGCTCGGGCGTGGACAGTAAGGACACACACACAGCACAGAGGCTCTGGCCTGGACCCCCAGCCCCAGGAAGGGCCCTGCAGCTCAGACGACATTCAGTGCCCTGCCTGCTGGTTTGCCGCACTGGCTGGTGCCAGGCCTCGGGGGCAGGCAGGCTGGGGTGCACTCTAGTGTCTTGAGAAGCTCAGGATTGGCTGTAAGTCCACCACTGAGTGCTCTGGTTTGGGGTGACTTACCCCTTTGCAGACGAAACCTGAGAAATAGCACCCCGTCCTCAAGGCAGCCCCAGAGTCCTGCAGCCGGGCTGGGCTGGAGAAGAGGCTCACAGGGAAGCGGGCTACAAGTTTTTGGTTTTGCTCCTAATCTCTGAATTTTGAAAACCCGTAACCCCTCATATGCGTTTAGCTCACAATTCAATTTTTAAATTATACAGTTGTTTTGTTTTATAGAAAGGTTGTGATTTCTGTCCTAAATATTGATCTTTACAAAAAAAAACCTTTTGGTCCTCCTTTACATGTCCACGTTTGTGGCTCCTTCCACCGTGGCCACACCAACCTCTGCCTCCCCCTTCTGGGCACCCCTCACCACTCATCCCCGACACGGCCCCAAACCCCAGCCCTCTCTCCGCCCCAGCCCCTCCCTGCGCCCGGCATCACCTCGGGCCACCTGGGACCTCTGGCAGTTACCCTCGAGTCCTCGCGGTGACTGAGACCCCCAGGGCAGGATCCGTCTCCAGTTTAGGAAAAGCTCTAGGAACCAGTGGTCACTCTCAAAGGAGAACCCACGACCTGTGTGTGGCGGGGACTAGGACTCATCCGGGTCTGAACACGGTAAAGATGGACGCCTTCCGCTTCCGCCTGCCGCTTCCGCCTGCCGCTTCCGCCTGCCGCTTCTGCCGCCGCTTCTGCCGCCGCTTCTGCCTGCGCCCCCGCAAAAGGACTAGCTTTTGCTCCTTTGGAAGTTTTGGTCGTTCCTGGACGTGATTCGGCTTCTGTCACAAAATTTGACCCCAG
Organism: Homo sapiens; assembly: GCF_000001405.40. Taxonomy (NCBI): domain Eukaryota; kingdom Metazoa; phylum Chordata; class Mammalia; order Primates; family Hominidae; genus Homo; species Homo sapiens. The sequence goes on along the minus strand of NC_000021.9, from coordinate 45,234,149 downwards.
TGCCATCTACTTTGCCTCCTGGAAGTCTTTTGTGCTTACCTCGCCCTACTTCTCTACAACAAAAAGCTTTAAATGGGGTCAAAAATTTAAAATTTATTTTGTGATCAAAAGCTTTTAATATCTCCTGAGTTATTTTCACAAGTAGTATCACTTCAGTTTTTCAGAAAACATATGTATGTTACAAACTGATAGATAACTATTAACACATAAACACATTTGATTGAAACTGCCTCGTTAATGAGAAGAGTGGGGCTGTTTTTCCAGCCGATTGGTTCCCACACTCAAGGAACAGGAGGACTCAGCTCCAGTGAGGCAGGCTTCAGTCTCAAGTATATTTTTCTCTTCATTTTTATAGACCATGTTAGGAAACTTTGTTTGCATGAATATGTAGATAAGGAGGTATAGTATAGCAATGGCCCTCAATTGTGTTCTGAACTCTTCTGAGTAATAGTTCCTAAATCCGATGATGATCTGAAATTTTAAAACTGTAAAAATTAGTTTAATGCTTTATCAGCTATCAACTCGGTTTTTCATTCAAGTGTTTTGAAAGCAAAGGATTAGAAACTACTTGACTTGCCAAAGGATGTGTTATCCAGTCAGTCTCAATTTCTGGAACATTTACTAAGAGGCTGTCCTTGTCTCAGTTTATCAAGGGACTGTCGTTTATCCCTGATTCTCTGTCACCTTATTTAATCTAATATAGTTTGAGGGGGTTGAGAACATTAAAATGTTGTTAATTTCATTGCTTTTTGGGGCCAATTTAATATTTTTGATAAAATGCTTTTATTATACTATTATTTTAAATGTGTTTTCATTGAATCCTTGAAGATGTAGTTCATTCTATTTATGGCAGATGTCCTCCATATACCCTAATCCTCCTTGTCAAACCAGTGAACCAAATTAGACATTTTTCGTCAGGAAAAGTCTGACCTACTTTTTCAATTGAAATAAAAGTGTTAGCATGCTTTTTCAAGGATATTAAAAAAAGAAAACCACTGAGAAATAAATTATAGAGGACATCTTATTAAATTACCAAAAGCAATAAAGTTATGATTTAAGACGTGTAGAGCTAATATAATTAATTGACCCACTTTATGATATGCCATTACAAGAAAATACATCTATATACCACTCTTCTTACTTAATTTGTAACACTTTAATGAAGCATGTGGGTAAATGTTCAGGTCATGTACTAAGTGAGGACTTGTGTGTATATGTTTATTGAACATTACTTTTAGGAGCAAAACACTAAATAAGAATCAACTATAGGCCAGGTGCAGTGGCTCACACCTGTAATCCTAGCTGTTTGGAAGGCCAAGGTAGGAGGATCACTTGAGCCCAGGAGTTCGAAACTAGTCTGAGAAAGATGGCAAGACTCCTACAAAAAATTTAAAAATTAGCTGGGTGTGGTAGCATGCACCTGTAGTCCCAGCTACTCAAGAGGCTGGGGTGGGAGGAGCCCAGGAGTTTGAGGCTGCAGTGGACTACGGTTGTGCTACTCCACTCCAGCCTGGGTGACAGAGACCCCATCTCTTATTAAAAAAATCAAGTATAAAAGTCATTTATAAACCCTCCCCCATTAATTTTGCTACGTATTACAGAAGTTCAGGAGGGGCTGTGCAGAGCTGGACCTCAGCCTCTGAGGTGGAGTGCTGCTGTCCTGCTACTGGCACCTGTGAAGGCGGGCAGTGAGACTCCAAAGCAACCTGCTGATGAGAACCAATAGCAGCTTTGCAGTTGCAGAAGCACTGCGGCTGAGCAGCAACAGCAAGCAAATGGCAGGAAATCACCTTCTCCCTCATCCTGTCTGCCATGGTCCCTCTTGTACTACCTTTGGCAGAATATAAAGCCAGCAGAGAATGGGAACATCATATTTGCAGGGTCCCAGCCTCAATATTATAAAGCGGAACGTAAATATTGAATTTGGAACTGAGAGATAAAGCTTCATAACTGACCCAAGTGGTAGATAGCATGAAAGGTCCAATGTGTCTTCACTCTAAGTCCTAGAAGGAAAGAATCAACATAATGTGGAAAACTAACAAATCCCGTAGCTGACAAAGTGTAAGGTGTGTCTGCAGTATTGTTTATGAGTATCTAAGAGTATTCAACTCATCCATAGAAAATAAGAGAAATGAGCAGACAGGCCAGTAGCCTGTGAGACACATGAGCCAGTAGACTGTGGAGAGAAAATGGGAGCATCAGAGAGGTATTCAGTATTCATAAGGCATTCAGTATTCATAAGACATTCAATATTCATGAGGCATTCAGTATTCATGAAGCATTCAATATTCATGAGGTCAGACAAAATTATCCACCGGTTATTGACTTCTGTTTTGGCCCTACTGTTTTCTGCCTGGGACAAGCAGATAAAAGCCCTAATTCATTTAATCTATTAGAGTTAGTCAATTTGTCAACGGAGTCAATTTTAACATCTTACCACTTCCCTTATTAACAGATTTTATAATGATTAACATAAAATCTTTGACCTTTGTTCATTAGAAAAATAATGGAGATTCCCATCTGTGCCCCAGTGGGACAGAGACTGAGACGTACTCTCATATACTTGGGTCTCCATGTCGCCCTGGCCTTATCACGTTGATATTACCCAGACTAAATTCTGGGTTATTAAAGATGTGTGTTGTTTTCTTTCACTTTTTTTTTTTTTTTTTTTTTTTTTGAGACGGAGTCTCACTCTGTCCCCCAGGCTGGAGTGCAGTGGCGCAATCTCGGCTCACAGTGCAACCTCCGCCTCCCAGGTTCAAGCGATTCTCGTGCCTCAACCTCCCGAGTAGCTGGGATTACAGGTGCATGCCACCATGCCCGGCTAATGTTTTGTATTTTTAGTAGAGACAGGGTTTCGCCATGTTGGCCAGGCTGGTCTCAAACTCCTGAGCTCAGGCAATCCACCCACCTCGGCCTCCCAAAGTGCTGGGATGACAGGCGTGAGCCACCGTGTCTGGCCTGACTTTAGCTTTTTAAGAACCACCGCAGGCAGGGCGCGGTGGCTCACGCCTGTAATCCCAGCACTTTGGGAGGCTGAGGCGGGCGGATCACGAGGTCAGGAGATCGAGACCATCCTGGCTAACACGGTGAAACCCCGTCTCTACTAAAAATACAAAAAATTAGCCGGGCCTGGTGGCGGGCGCCTGTAGTCCCAGCTACTAGGGAGGCTGAGGCAGGAGAATGGCGTGAACCCGGGAGGCGGAGGTTGCAGTGAGCCGAGATCGCGCCACTGCACTCCAGCCTGGGCGATAGCAAGACTCCGTCTCAAAAGAAAAAAAAAAAAAAAAACCACCACAAACTTAGCAAAGTACTGATTTTTACACTGTAAACCTCTTGTAAGATTTCCTAAATTTTGTTTCTCAATTTAAGCATCTCATGCAAACCTGCTTCCCAGGTGGCAAAGCTCTGACGCATGGTATGTCTGGGAACTTTTAAAATTAATACAGAATATATTTATTTAATATCTGCAACATAGCAGGCTTGTGCCAAGTGAATAGCCATGAACAAACCAATGCCTCTCACCCCCTGATGTCTGCATTTCATAGTGGGACAGATAAACAAATGCAAATGTCATTAATCAGTGCTAGGAAAGAAAATCGACCAGGGAGAACAACATAAGATTCAGCTGATGTATAAAGTACTTGTTTCCACAAAAATACATTTAAAATGACTCTCTAAGGAAGTAAATGATTGCAATTTTAAAAGCTTCCTGATATTTTTCTTATTTTCTTTAATTTGGACAATTTACATTTTACAGCACTAAAAGTTGTTGCTTTTGTGTGAAAAAAAATCCCACGAGTCCTTAGAGTACCAAATAAATGGCATTTTAAAAAGTCTATGCTAGCACTTTTTAAATCTTCTTATGAACATTTGCAAACATACAATTACCAACACTTGGCCGGTATCGTTTCATCCGAATCTTCTTGTCTTCTCCATTAGTGGAGCTGCCTGTCCCTGTTATATTTTTTATTTTATTTTTTTGAGACTGAGTCTTGCTCTGTCACCCAGGCTGGAGTGCAGTGGCGCGATCTCGGCTCACTGCAGGCTCTGCCTCCGGGGTTCACGCCATTCTCCTGCCTCAGCCTCCCGAGTAGCTGGGACTACAGGCGCCCGCCACCACGCCCGGCTAATTTTTTGTATTTTTAGTAGAGACAGGGTTTCACCGTGTTAGCCAGGATGGTCTCAATCTCCTGACCTTGTGATCCACCCGCCTTGGCCTCCCAAAGTGCTGGGATTACAGACATGAGCCACCACGCTCAGCTGTCCCAGTATTTTTGTGTGTGTGTGTGTGTGTGTGTTTTTTGAGATGGAGGCTCGCTCAGTCGCCCAGGCTGGACTACAGTGGTGTGGTCTTGGCTCACTGCAACCTCTGCCTTCTGGGTTCAAGCGATTCTTTTGCCTCAGCCTCCCGAGTAGCTGGGACTACAGGTGCATGCCACCACGCCCGGCTAATTTTTGTATTTTTAGTAGAGACAGAGTTTCACCATACTGGCCAGGCTGGTTTCAAATGCCTGACCTCATGATCTGCCCACCTCAGCCTCCCAAAGTGCTGGGATTACAGGCGTGAGCCACCATGCCCTAGCACACCACTGGGTCCCAGATGTCCTTGGGAACAGATCAAGGCAGTGCAAAGGCCCTGTGCTGGTGAGGGGCTGAAAGTTGGTGGGAACTAACTGCTGTTGCTGTTTTAAGCCCGTCTCAGACACATCCTTTCATCTGTGATGCCTTCAGTCTGTGGGTGTGGCAAAGTCCATGAACATTATATTAGCCAGATGTTAGCACTTCTATCAGCCAAATATTTTAGTATTTCTATATTTTCTTTTTTGTTACCCTCTCCTTTTCCATGTGGTCTTCCAATGGTAAGTTCATTCCACTATGTAGTTCATCTGTTGTGTTCACTTTTTCAAATTCTGCTTGGTTCTGTTTTCTGATCTCTTCCTGGACTGTGTTCTAAAACGCTAGAATCTATTCTAATAGGATCTCTATTCAGTATTACCATTTTGAGCTTTAGATAGTTGTGCTCTGCAGATTTCTCATTTCTCCTTATGAGGTCATTTTCCCCTGGAGGCATTGGCTGCTTGGCCAGAAGGCAGAAGGTGGGACCTCAGTGCCTGAGGGCATAGCGGGAGGTGGGCCAGCAGAAACCCACACTCACTCCTCATCCCTCAGGTCTGGCCTCACACTTTTTTCTCCTGCAGCTGTACCACACAGACCAATCTCACCAGTCCTGGAGGGTGGGATGGGGGAGGCACCTGCCAGAGGCTGATTAGTTCCCACCAACTTTCAGCCCCTCACCAGCACAGGGCCTTTGCACTGCCTTGATCTGTTCCCAAGGACATCTGGGACCCAGTGGTGTGCTAGTAAATGCTAAACAGGCTACCCTGCTCCAGTGTGGGCACACATATGTGTACATAAGCGTACTGTACATGTTACAGATATAAAAGGAGCAGCATGCAACTTAAAAACATGAATAAAATAGACAGTACTGTTGTAAATCCCACAGAGCCAGTTTTTATGGAATGCTTTCATTGAGTCTTGCTGAGCCCTACATCTGAAGCCAACACAGGGTTGCAGCTGATGAATGAGTGTGGTTCTGACAAGAATGCTGGGGATGTTTTCACCGATGAGTCAGATGAAGGCGAAGCAGCAGGACGAATGCCAGAGCTTCACTTGTTCAGTGACTGAGTGACTTCTTTGCTTAAGTAGATAACAGTTTCCAGAGGCTGTGAGACAGTTTCTTCAATTTTCTGTGCCATTCACAATGTAACAGCTACATTTGCAGTTTGATCTGCATCTTCCTCCATCCCTTGCTAGGTCTAGAGACAATCACAACAGTGAGTCAAGCCTTGAGTCACCGTGTCTGTGGGTACCAGTGGTGTGAAACCTCCCACCACAACTGATTCCAAGCTACTGATGTGAGTTCCCAAACGCAGCCTAGGAGGGGCGTGCCCACCATTGCAGAGTATGCACACAGTAAGAACACAGATTGCAGTAAAATGCAGCAAAAAGTAGGAAGTGACGAGTTTCGAGTGTTTACCTTTGTTTTTAATATCATTCTGAGTTTATCAAATGTGACGTTAAATAACAGCTGCGTTCACCTACTGGTGGGCCAGGTTCCTGGCACTGCAGCCTCCAGCAGTGGCACGCTGATGCCTGGTCCAGTGCCCCGGGCTCGCCAGGCCCCCTCTGGCTGACCATCTGCCTTGCAAGCCTTCTCTGTGAGGCTACTCTGATCCCAGTACTTACCATTGCAGCCCGCCCCACTGCACTATCCTCACCTGCTTTTTCTTTCTTCCCAGGCACCATTCCCTGACACTGGCGTCTGGTGTGTTATTTGCTTTCCTGCAGAGCAGCAGCTATTTGGGGGGGAGTCTGTGTTGTGTTCACCGACCTGTTCCAAGCACCTGAAATAGTGCCTTCCGGGTCGGCCTTCATTACGCATGTACTGAATAAAAGCTCGAGAACCTCAACATTTACAGCCAGGCTCTACGAGATTCACTATACAGTATCTCGTAAAAAGCAAAACTTTCATCTTACGTGGTCAAATTCGGACATTTCCCCAGTTCCATGACAGAATAGTGAGTCCGAGTATTCCATCTGGTGTGGCCCCCGAGGCAGCTCCCGAAGAATCACTGTTCAAAGGATTCACTCATCAGGGAGAGGGTTCCCTTCATTCTTTTCTCTGAAGCTTGTTTTTGCTGCAACATATTTTAACGTTTTTATTGTGGGAAATGAAATAGTTTCAAAATTGATGCAAATGAGAAAATCAAGTTACCTGTCTGTAATAGTGCTTTTTTTATTACTTGTATGATGCTTTTGACTTTTCAAAATATTTTCCTATATTTGTTTTTCATTTAATTGTAGAAACATCAGACAAACGGATATGCTTTTCACATAAGAACACAAAATCAAAACCATCTCAAATCCCATGTCCACAGACCACGGCCAGACTCCCTTCTTAGACAGCCTGGCCCACCTGTGCTCGTACAGTACGTGAAGCATATATACACTGTTACAGCCACGACACGGAAATGCCGCTTTGCTGCCAACTTTCCACTTATTGTGACTGTCCTTCCAGTGTTGTAATTAGAAATAACATAGTTCTATGGTGGCACTTAGCACCTGGTTTTTTTCACTGCACCCCAGCACCCGTGTCACCCTTGCCTCTTATTGAGTGTGTAGGTTCTTCCTGTGTTCTAGCCACAAGTAACGTGAGGGTAACGAGTCACACGGGCATGTGTCAACATCCATTTTATATGCAGGATGGGAGTGGGGCAGCTGCCTACTTTTCCTCTACACCACCTTATATATAGGAGAGGCGCCAACACGCTCTCCAGGAAGACAGTGAAGTCAAGAATCTAACAGGGGTGGGGACTGAGGGGAGACTGTCCCAAGGTGGGGAAATTCCAGTAGCACTGGTGCAAGCACAGCAGGTGACAAGACCACGTGGAGGCAGAGCTGCAGCTCTTGGGCGGGACTCAGCCACCTTTTCAGGTTATGCATGTGGGTGTCCATACCCAGGCCTGCTAGTGGAGCCAAGGGCAGAAATAATTTGAAAGGAAAAGAAAGTCTCAGCAACACCAGAGTAGTGAAACATTTTCTTTTTATTGAGAACATCTCAAATCCTTTGTCTGTATTTGACAGCGTCTCATGCTCAGTTCCAGCTGGTCTTGTGCGAGAGGAAGCTCATGCAGTTGTAACGTGTGGTGTATACACAGATTTACATACAGAGAACACTGAGGATTGCATCTCAGCAACATGTTTCTCAGCCGAATTACATTCATAGAAAGTGTCCAGATTCTAAAATCAAATTAAAAGCATGTAATCCAAAGCCTGAAAAAGCAAACAGCTTTAGGGGCTGACTCCATTAGCGTTCCATAGACTGTGCTTTTAACCGTTCAGTTCATGTTTAATGGCCCATCGGTTCCTTACATACCATCAGCTTATGCTGTGGCCAAAAGAAGTGTTCTTGTGGCTTGGTACTCGTCCCTTCAAACAGTAAACAAGAAAGTGCAGACAGTGCTGCCAGAGACAGGAGGATTTTCACATGAGACTGAAAAAGCCGACACACCCTTACAACTAAGTCATGGTCGAGTCGGACCTGCCATCCACCTCCACCAGTCCCTGGAACCCGGCAGGTCAGAGTTTTCTCTAATTCTATTCCCCGGCATCAAGTGAACACTAGAACTCACACGGAAGGCCCCGAGCAACCACTGGCCTCGGGGCTGGGTGCACCCACTCCTCACCCAGGGAGATTGTCACAAAACACGCTAGGGGGCAGAGACGCTGTAAACTGGACACACACGGAACACAATGCCCTTTCCACTTACACAGCGTGGGGATGATAAAAAGGAATCTTTTGAGCAAGTCTATAATTTTACAGAATTTAGAGGTGGGAAAGATGGCCAATTTTCCTTCTTTATGCCTGGGGCAGACCACCTGCTTCTGGGGTAAAGTGTTTGAGAAGGAAAAAGAGCCACTGTACATGTGTTTGTTTTGAGACATGGGCAGGTCCGGATGTGCAGTCTCCACAGCTTCGCTAATCCCATCCTCAGATCTGTGCACAATGTGAAGACGGAGCCGTCCCCTCCTCAGTGTACCTGTGTGAGATTACAAGGAGAGACACTGTCTTCACAAAGAAAGTGGCGATTCCACAGCCTGGAGATAAATATGGTTATTTGAATAAAAATAAATTCCACAGAAATCCATGCCTTGTGAGATACTGGCTTGCACATTTTAAAATAATTGCTTTTAATTACAAAAAATTCTCCAAAATAGGAAAAGATGATGAAAAGTTAAATTAAGACTCAGAATAAAAACTGCAGTTCTTTGGCGTCCCTTGCTGGGAAGAGGTGGGCCTGGCGTACGACCAGGTGATGAGAGCTGAGGAAGGTGGTGACGACATCCATCTGGACCTGTCGCTGCCTCATGGCACAGAACACACCGCCCCACCTGAGACCTCCCACTAGCAGGACTCTGTCCCTGGCAGAGCTGTACCTGAGTGGTCCTGAGGGACAGTGTCTTTGTGGAATTAATACTTCAGGTTTAGTTAACAAAACAAAACAAAACAAAACAACAGAAGCCCTCTCTTCCCCTACTTGTCAAAATGTCCTCAAAATGTAATATTTTTTCTTAAAAAATCAAGTTCCTGCTTGTGTCGAATTTTCTGCTAAGTCTCTAAAAGCCACATCAAGGACACTGGATGGAGAGTGACACGTCAATGAAACAGCTATAGTCTAAAAGTGCACACCGAGCGCTCAGAAGGGAGGGATTAAAGTGCTAAGGTCCCCGATCTGTCTCACGGAGGAGTCAGCGTTCTGTATTTTGTTTATTTTTTTTCTGATTACAGATGAGCTGTCCTAGGAGCAGTGCAGAGCCTCTGGTCCCCTGCACGTCACCTTCCTCCCCACAGCCGCCCCGCCCAGGGCTCCCCGAAACCAGTTCCTTCCTACAGCCGCCCCCTGCCCCGGCCCAGGGCTCCCGGAACCCAGTTCCCCCTGACAGCCACCCCGCCCAGGGCTCCCTGAACCCAACTCCTCCTCACAGCCGCCCCCCAGTAGCCCCCTGCCCAGGGCACCCCGAACCCAGTTCCCCCCAACAGCCGCCCCGCCCAGGGCTCCCCGAACCCAGTTCCTCCCCACAGCTGCCCCACCCAGGGCTCCCAGAACCCAGTTGCCTTGGCTGCCTTCCTCCTGCCTGGACGGCTTGGGATAGGGTGCCCTGTGCCTGTCCTCAAGGCCGCACGAGTCCACCCCGGAAAGGTGCCACCTCACATGGTCTCAAGGTAGCTGCTCAGGCCCCACAAGGTGAGGCACTCACTTATTTGGGGTGGTACAGGGAGCAATCATGCTGACTTTAGCTATTACCTGACAGAAGGGAAAAGCCAGACATACCGGGTAGTTTTGTATGTATATGGAATATATTAACACTAAACTTGGTAACCAAAATCCACATATTTTTAAAAACGAAGTCCATCTCCCAATCCCCATTAGAAAAAAATACAATTTATCAAGACAATAAAAATGCACAGACTTACAAGGTGTTTTTTCTAGAGTGTGCAAGAGCCTGCTTGGGGGAAAGCCAGCGACAACAGACCCCTCTCCTTCTGCAGGTGCAGAACCCCAGCGCGATCTGCCTGAACAAAACCCCACTGTGGTGACGGAGCGGCAGAGACGCCTGCTGTGACTGCTTCAGGGAGACAACTACCCTCTTCGGTGGAGGAGGAGGCTGCTGTGGGGCAGATGTTCTAGCCGCTGAACCCGGTCATGTCCCCAACAATGAGCCCTAAGCAGCACCCCTTCCTGCCGTGCTGCGACGAGATCTGTGTGGACACACGTGGATGGGGCTCCTGACATCAGGAGGCACACCCCCCGCCGAAGCCACGGTGTTTCAGTTTTGGGGTCTGAGCTCCCAGCGTCCGGTGGGAGGATGACGCCCCTCTGCCCCTGCTCTGGTTTCCTAGGCTCATCACGGACACACAGGTGCCAACACCCTGGATTTCGCTGTGGCAGGTGTATGCTGTGGGGTAAGGTCTGCACCAATCTCTCCCCATGGCCCCAGGAGACCCACCTGAACACCCTCTAGAGCCTTGGAGCTGGGCACTGCACTGGCAGGCAGAGCACTTCTCTCAGCTCCTCTTTCATCCTGAGCGGAGGCAACAAGGCACCTGGTGCAAATCTCTGAGCTTGGTGGAGGTGGTCCACACAGGGCCCTCGCCCGCCGCGCTCCTGACCTCCCGGGCTGACTCCCTCTGTCGTGGGGCCGTCCCGTGCACGCTGGGCGCTGGGCAGCCCTGAGCTCCCGTCAGGACTGTCAATGTCTGGCCTACACTACGCCAGCAGCACGTGGTCTCACCAGCTCTCACTTGGATGCTTTTTATTTTTCAAACATGTCTTTGATAAAGCTGGAAACAATAATTTAAAACTATGGCATTTTCCAAGAATGAGTATCTACTGAAATCATTCTACTTCCATCCTGTGAAGGCCTTCGGGCGGTCACCCACATCCATTCGATTCAGAGGAAGGAACAGAGGGAACTTAGGCCATGTATTGTGCAGTAGCCCTCGTGATTCCTTCTAGTCCATAAAAGTTAAATATCCTTTAAAAAACCTGAATGAATGGCCAGCCTGGGATTACTGGCCATGTATTATCTGTGATTACTTAGAAGTAAACTGAGAAAAGTTTTCCATGATCTGATCCTACAAGGAGTACAGAAGCTTCTAGAGGAGGCTGAGGGCTACAGGGGCCTGGGTCACGCCTCTGCAGGACACACAGTCACTGCTGCGGGACCCCATGTGCATGACAGGGCCACGCTACACCATGCTGGGAGTCTGCTCCTCAGGGAGAGACTGTTACAACCTAGTGTGTGGAACTACCCAGGGAGGTACCTACGGAGAAAAGAGACCTAAGTTTAGACAGACGTGTGGCGATTTCCTTTAGGCTACTATTTCCTACCTCTATTTTCCCACCCTCCTCCATATATAGATGCTTTTTTGCAATTAAAATAATGTGGCATAAAAGTGACCTGACACAATTACTTCCTATTTTATAAACCACATTCCTAGCTCTGAATAAATTATTTATTCAAGAATTTCACACAAAGTAATTTCTATTTTCCTAAACTTAAGGAAGCCCTACTCAGTAGAACTCAATTTCTAAACGTAAACCGAGATTGAAAGCAGTCACTGGACGGTTCAGAAGGGGAAATGCTGCGGCAGAGAGATGCCAGGCGGCGATGCTGGGCCCTGACGCACCCCATCCCCTCCCCACACTGCGCACCTGCCCCAGGTCTGATGTGAGATGCTGGGGACAACCGTGGACACCTGGTGGTCCCCCGTGTCCCCCTACTCCCTCCCCAAGGTATGCACCTGCCCCCAGTTCAGATGTGAGGTTCTGGAGGATGACGCTGGATGCCCACAGCCCCCTGCACCCCCCATCATGTCTGCCCGGGTCAGGGCGTGAGTGAGAACTGGTCCTGCTCGGTGGGCTTCTCCACCCAGGCCCCCAGCCCCGCCTTGATGAAGGCTGTGAACAGACGCGCCTTGGCGGCCTGGTACTCCTTTGCCGCCAGCTTGGACTCATGGTACACGTTGGGCTTGGTAATCTTGGAGCGTAGTAAGTGGGAGGGAACCTGTGAAGGGATAAAAAAACAAATGCAACTGTTGACGCTGTAACAGATGAAAACAACACCTAATAAGATACCAAAACATGGCCTTCAGAACTGCATTGGCTTCTGGGGGGAAAGCAACCCAGAGGAAGGCGCCTTCTGCCAAGGGAACGGCTTCACACAGAACAAGGTGCGGCGTCTCCTAAGGGCTGAGTTATTGCCAAGTTCCAGTCTTGCTGGTCAAACAGGCAGCTACAGACCCCCGAGTTCTGAAGACATGCTTCTGGGAAACCACCAATAGTGGATTCACGTTTCATTTTTAACTCTAAGAAGCACCACGGATGTTATGTGTGTCATCACCCTGATGACCTCGGAGGCCTTCCCTCATGCGGCCAGTAACTCCTTCTGTGTGGACCTTGGACTTGTGGCAGCTGGCCTGGGTGCTGCCCCTGGTGAACAGGACCCTCCCGGGCACTGTCCCTTCTGGCTATACCTCCCATGCCAGTGCACAATGCTGGTCTCAGAATAAACAGATGCCATCTACTTGACTGAAGAATACACACAAACTAGTAATACCCTGACTTACTATATAAAGTTTTATTCTGGGGAAAAAAGGGCCCCACAGCTAATTCAAAAGGTTTAAAAACTCCACTGGAGGGTTATCACAATCCAAGCAATTTTTATGTTGCTGAGAAGGAGGGGACAGCAGGGTGACTGGCCCTGCGTTTTGCATAATGACTTTCAATATCTGAGAGTAAGAGACGTTTCCACCACACACAGTGGCCTGGCAGTGGGTGTTACCCTGCAGCAGGGAGGAAAAGAGCTGCCTTTGAGATGGCATTAAGGTTTCAGGGACGTAGCCACACTTCTAAGCTAAAACAATCTGAAGGAAGAATCATTCCAAGTGATCGTTTTCGGAAGCTGTGCATGATGACATGATGAAACAACTTAAGGAACAGTAGGTGTGAGGACAGACAAGCTATTGGGGAGGTGGAGCCGGCGCATTGCGGTGAGGGCGCCTCAGTACCTTGCCGTGCACACGCATCCAGCGACAGTACAACGCGTGCTTACACAGGCGGGACGCGCGGCCCAGCTCATCCTTCCCAGTCGTGGCGTTGATGACCTCAATAGCGGAGTCGCCTACCGTCCAGTTGACACTGAAGTTGGGGGCCTTCCCTGGCTGCCGTGCTTCTGCATTGCTGATGCCTGAAACGGAAGACACAGGAAGGTGGTGTGAAGCCCGCTTTCACCCCCAGGGAGGGAGCAGCCACGGGCGGCACACTGTGCTCAGACATGGCCACAGAAGTGCGTGGTGGGGGAATTCTGCCTGCCGAGGAATATACGCAGACTTGAGCGTGCATCTGCCGTGGCAGTGGCCTCACACTCTTCCACGGCCACCAGAATAGGAGCAGTGCTGAGAAAGCAGAACTGACCCACGGGTATGCACTTGTCTGACAGGGCAGGTGGGCAGAAGATTGACAGAAACCTGAAATCATGAGACTTCCTGACAAGTGTGTCTTTTCTCACTCTGGCACTGACGGAGCCAGGAACCTTGGCAGCCTGAGAGTGGATGGGTGGGAGCCACTTCTGAGACTAATGCAGGGTCCCATGAGGTCGTGCAGGTGGGGGTTGCTCCTGTATCACACCACCTCTGGCGCTCATGCCTGCATGTGCTCCCCTGCCACTGAGAGGCCAGGCATGTTCAGGTCACGTGGCTTTGCATGTGTGACATCCATGATGCAATAGGAAACCCTAATTCTTAACAAGAGTCTTGAAAAAGTTCATGGAAAATGCTTATTATGAAAAAACCTCATGGATTTCAAAATTTTTTGGCACCAAAATAAACTTGTACTAACTTGCTGAAACATGTCTGAATAGGATCTAGTTTGAGGCACTAAGAAGATTAAGACATCTGTTTGAAAAGCGCTCCTATCAGAGCTACATGACTTCTGCTAAAATTGAAGCAAGAACAAACATCAAACAGGAGATAAAAATAGCTTTTACAAAGACAATCCTGAAGAAAATGCATAATCCAAAAAAAAAAAAAAAAAAGGCTACCAAGAGGCAGAAGGGGCCCAGTCAAAGCACAGGCTGACTGGCCAAAGCACAGGCCATGGCAGCATTTTTGGGATGCTCAAGGCGTTTTGCTTGTTGGGTTCACATGGAGGGCCAAAGGATGGTAATATCTGCTTATGATGACAGTGTTTCAAGAAAGTGAGCCAAAGCTTTAGCAGAAACCCCCTGGGGAAGCTTCGCCAGAGACCTTCACCATGACAAAGCGCCTATTTATTCCTCTCATCAAACAAGGGCAAGTGTGTGAGGGTTTCGAGAGGAAATCATGAGCCATCCACCTTATGGTGGTTGCAAATCCACCTCATTTGGCTCCTTCTGACTTCTTTTTGTTTCCTAATCTCAAAAATTCCTTAAGGGGCATGCTTAAGGAATTTTTCTTCAGTTACTAATGTAAGAAAGACTGCACTGACATGGTTAAACTCCCAAGACATTCAGTTCTTTTTTTCGAGACGGAGTCTCACTCTTGTTGCCAGGCTGGAGTGTGTGGTGCGATCTTGGCTTGCTGCAACCTCCACCTCCTGGGTTCAAGCGATTCTCCTGCCTCTGCCTCCCAAGTACCTGGGACTACAGGCGCGTGCCACCATGCCCAGCTGGTTTTTGTATTTTTAGTAGAGATGGGGTTTCACCATGTTGGCCAGGATGGTCTCAATCTCCTGACTTCATGATCTTCCCGCCTCGGCCTCCCAAAGTGTTGGGATTACAGGCATGAGCCACCACACCTAGCCACCATTCAGTTCTTTAGGGACAATCTAAATGGCTAGGATCAGCACTTACAAAAATGTCTTGAATTTGATGGAGCTTATGTTGAGAAATAATGTTTATATCTTTAAACATTTTTTTATCTTTTAACTTTATGAACTTTTTGAAGTACCCTTGTACTTATTTTCTTGCTGTGTTTAAACGATCTCATCTTAACTAATCACAGGCTAATTCTGCAGGGTTGAAAGTTTTTAAAAAGACACTTGCATAACTCGGAATTGAATACATGTATCTGCATTTATATATTGAGCTTGATAATTCATATCACATGGATGTTATAGGCCACCAAAATCAAAACTAATTTGGGATATGAATCTTTAGAACATGCTTAGAACATGGGCAGACTCATATTCTGAACCCAGACACTGAACTGTCAAGCCCACTGGCCAGAAGCAGCACACTGCACTCTCAGATGACTCAGTACAACTCACTTCGTGCCCTGTGGAGGCCACCCCCACCCCGTCACCATGCTCACTTGCTTTCAATGACCATTTATCCCTCCCTTGGAGAGATATCAAAACCCAGATGACAGTTCACTGTTCAGAGTAAGGAACCCAGGCAGAGTGTAGCAGATCCCCTGAATTGAGAGTCAAGGGAAACCAAGTCAGCCAGATTTCATAAGACAGAGTACCGGAAGGAAGAGACATGCAGACAGAGTGAGCCCTGGAGATACGCAGAGGGTGTCCTTGAATATCCTGCGGAGCACTGATCAGAGTAGGCATGTTACTCAATCAAGGCTGGGAAACAGCCTCCTGAGAGAATGGAAAAGTGCCTGACATTCACATATAGAAGATACAGACATAAAGATATAAAAAGGCCTAAGCCAAATTTCTAGAGAGGAAAACTACAATGTATTAGATAAAAAATACACTTGATGGGACTAACCACAGAATAGAAACCGCAGAAGAAAAGATTAGTGAACTTAAAGACACAGTAACAGAAACTACCAAAAATGAAACACAAAGAGAGAAAAAAAGAACAGAAAATCAGTGATATGGGGCAGGTTTAGGTAGGGTGAAATATGTGTAATTAGATTTCATGACGGTGAGGAGAGAGAAGGGGGAACGGAAAATATATCTGAAGAAAGATGAATAAAAAATTTCCAAATTTCATGAAACCAACAAACCCATGGATTAAAGAATTTCAATGAATCCCAAGCACAAGAAACATGAATAAAACTATATACCAAAGCACAACAGAACAAATTGTTCAACACTAGTATTAAGAGAAAATCTTAAGCAAACCCAGAGCAAAAAACACACAGAGGAATAAAGATAACAACACATTTCTTACTGGAAACAACGCAAACAACAAGTCAGGGAAGCAATGTCTTTAAAGTGCTTAAAGGAGAAAAAGGACCCTGCCATTCCAGCAGAAATATATTTGTACAGCAAAATATACTTCAAAATGAAAGCAAAATACTTTCCCAGACATACCAAAGCTGAAATAATTCATCATCAGAAGACTTGTGCTACAAGGAATGTAAAAGGAAGTCCTCCAGCCAGAAGAAAAAATGATACCAAAATGGAAATCCAGATCTATACAAAGAATGAAGAGCCCTGGAAATGATAGCTACATGGATAAATATACAAGAGGTTTTTTTCTTATTATTTAAATTCCTTTAAAAGATAATTATTAAGATGAAAATAATAAGATGTGGATTTTTTTAACACATGCAAAAGTGTCTGAAAACAATACCACAAAGGTTGGGAATGGAAAAACGAAAGTATCCTGTTGTAAGGTTCTTTTACTATATGTGAAGTAGTATAATATCACTTGAAGGGAGATCGTGGTAAGAATGCATACTATAAACCCTAAAAACCACCACCAAATTAACAAAAGTTACAGCTCAAAAGTCAAGAAGGAGTCAAAATGGAATCATCAAACACACCCAATTAAGGCAAAAGCAGTAAGAAAATGAGGAAAAAGTGAACAAAGAACATATGAAACACGTAGAAAATAAGTAGCAAGATGAAATTTAAACCTAATAATATCAATAATCACAATAAATGTAAATGGTCTAAGTACCTCAGTGAAAAGGCAGAGATTGTCCATGGTGGGAGAGAGAAGCAAGATCCAAACATATAAATATATATAAATATATGTCTATAAGAAACATATTTTTAAGATAAAGTACTTTAATATAAAGGGATAGAAGATACACTGTGCTAACACTAATCAAAAGAAAGTTGAGGAGGTTATATTAATCTCAAAACAAATTTCAGAACAAACACTATTACCAGAAATAAAGAGGGTCATCATATAATGGTAAAGGAGGTCGGTTTATTAAGATAAACCAACAATCCTACATTTTTATGCATCTAATCACAGAGCTACAAAATACAGGAAGTAAAAACTCTAAAAAAGGGGAAGAAATAGATAATGTACAATTATAACTAAGAGATTTTCAATCCTGCCTCTCAATAACTGATAGACCAAGTAGAAGATCGGTAAGAATATAAAAGAAAATAAATAGTATAATCAAACAACTTGGCCTAATCAACATTTACAGATCACTCTACCCCAAAGTGGCAGATTCACATTCTTTCAAGTTTTGTGGAACACTTATAAAGATAGATCATATTCTGGTCCATAAAACCAAGTCTAATAAATTTAAAAGGACTGAAGTCATTAAATGAAACTAAAAAACCAACAACAGAAAGATCTCTGTAAAATCCCTAGTATTTTGAAACTAAATAGCAGACTTCTAAATAACCCAAGGGACAAAGTATTTTAATATAAGTGAAAATGAAAACATATCATAATTTTTAAATGCTACAAAAGCAGTAAAAAGGGTCTTAAAACAATGACCTCAACTAGCACCTTAAAAAACTACAAAAAGATGGGCAATTGAAACACCAGGTAAGCGGAAAAAAAAGAAATAATTAAAATCAGAGTAAAAATTATTGAAATATAAAACAAAAGACAAAAATCACTGAACCTAAAAGTTGGCACTTAGAGACAAACAGAATTGAAAAACTTCCAGCTAGACTGATCAGAAAAAAACAACCAAGAGAAGATACAAATCATCAATATAAGGGATAAGACGATATCATTAGAGATATCACAGATATTAAAATGAATATTCTGAATGCTTTTATGCCAATATATTAGACAAATTAGATGAAATGGACAAATTCCCTGAAAGACAAATTACTGAAGCTTACTCAAGAAAAAAGATAAAAACAGATAACATGAATAGCCCTAAATCTATTATAGAAAAATAAATTGTAGTTAGAATTTTCTTACAAAGCAAACTTCAGGCCCAATGGTTTCACTGGTGAATTTAACCATATATTTAAAGAAATAATACCAAATCCAAACAAACTCTTCCAGAAAACTGAAGAGAAAGAAATGCACCCCAACTCATTTTATGCCTGACAAAGACATTAAACTAAAATGATAGCCCAATATCCCTACAGACAAATATAAATACAAAAATTCTAAATGAAATTTTAGCAAACTGAATCCAACAATATATAAAAAGAATAGCACATAATAACCATATAACGTTTATCCCAAGATGCAAAGTTGGTTTAATTTTTTTTTAACGTCACCACTAGCAAACTGAAAAATGAACTAAATGCTCATCTCATTTTTTGTTGTTGTTGTTTCAGATGGGGTCTCACTACATTGCCCAGGATGGCCTCAAACTCCAGGGCTCAAGTGATCCTCCTGCCTTAGTTCCCAAGTAGCTGGGACTATAGGCCTAAGTCACTGCAATGACAACAGTCATCTAAGAGCAGAAAAAAAGCATCAGACAAAATCCAGCATACATTCTTGATTAAAAACGCTGAGTAAGCTATAAATAGAAAAAAAAAATGTCTTGAGCTGATAAAGACATCTGTAAAAAACCTACAGCAGCCAGATATGGTGGATCATTCCTATAATCTCAGCACTTTGGGAGACTGAGGCAGGCGGGTTGCTTGAGGCCAGGAGTTCAAGACCAATCTGGGCAACATAGGAAGACATTGTCTCTATAAAAAATTTAAAAATGAACCAGGCATGGTGGCATGCACCTGTAGTCCCAGCTACTCAGGAGGCTGAGACAGGAGGATCACTTGGGCCCAGGAGTTTCAGGTTACAATGAGCTATGATCACGTTACTGCACTCCAGCCTGGGTGAAAGAGTGAGACCTTGTCTCTAAAACAAAAAACAGCAATAAAAAATCCTACAGCCAACATCATACCTAATGGTGAAAGACTGAATGTGTTCCCCCAAGATGACATGTAAGAGAAGGATGTCTGCTGTCATCACTTCTACTCAACATTGTACTGGAGGTCCTAACCAGTGCAATAAGGATGTAGAACTGATGAGTGGACTATAAAATTGCTATGGAAATACAAAAAGGACCTAAGCAGCCAAGACAACTTTGAAAAAGTACAAAGTTGGAAGACTAACTCTACCTGACCTCAAAACTTATAATAAAACTATAGTAATCATGACAATGTAATACTGGCCTTTAGACAAAGAGATTAAAGGCAAACAACAGAGTCCAGAAACAGACCCACATGTATATATACATGCCAGCTGATTTTTGACAAGGGCACAAGGCAATTCCATGAAGAAATGAGGAACCTTTCACTAAATGGTGCTAAATCAACTGGATATCTTACATGCCAAAAAATGAACTTCAGTTCATCCTTCATACCCTACACAAACATGAACTCAAGTGAAATATAGTCTTAAATGTAAAAACTGCAACTGTAAAATTTCCAAGAATATAAGAAGAAATCTTTGTAGTACTGACTTAGGCAAATATTTCTTAGACATAATATCAAAAGCATGATCCATCAAAGAAAATTTCTATAAATTAGATTTTGTCAAAATTAAAATTATGTGGTTTGCGTAAGACACTATGAAGAGAATTAAAAGACAAGCCACTGATTGGGAGAAAGCATTTTTCAAATCATATATCTGATAAAGGATCTGTATCTAGAAAATATAAATAACTCTCAAAACCCAGTAATAAGATGTTAAACAACTCAGTAAAAATGTGCATAAGTTTTGAACAGTTTATTGAAGAAGGCACAGGGATGGCAAATCAGCATGTGAAAGGGCATTCAACTTCATTAGTCATCAGAGCAATGCAAATTAAAAGCACAATGGAATATCACTAAACACCTGCTAAAATTTCTAAAGCAACCGCTCGTACTGCGTGCCGGCATATAAGTGACAGAACTACAACTCCCGCACACTAGTGGTGGTAATGTGAAAATGGTACAACCATTTTGGAAAACAGGTTAATAGTTTTCTAAAAAGTTCAACATACACCTATCTTAGGATTCAGCCATTCCACTCCTAGGTATCTACTAAAGAGAAATGGAAGTAAGCGCCCAAAGATTTGTACAGAAATGTTCTCAGCAGCTTTATAATATTAAAAGACTGGAGACAACCTAAATATCCATCAATATTTCAAGGGAAAAACAAATTGTGGTTTATCCACCCAGTGCAATGCTACTTAGCAATGAAAAGGAATGAACTATGGATAAACCCAACAACATAGATCAATCTCCAAGTGATTAAACTGAGTGAAATAAGCTAGACCAAAACGGTGCAAACCTTATGATGACATTTATGTAAAATCCCAGAAAATGCAAACTCATCTATATAGACAGATGGTACATACTGGGGATGGGAATGGGGATCGGGGAGAGGGAGGGATTATGAAGGAGTACTAAGACAATTTTGAAGTGGATTAAGTATACTCATTATCTTTATTGTGGTGATGGTTGCACAGACCTAAACATAGGCCAAAATGTATCAAATTGTATACTTTAAATATGCAGTTTATCATATGCCAATTATACCTCAATAAAGTTGTGAAAAGACACTAAAGATAATTTAAAAATAAAAAAAATTGTTCTCATTAAAAAAATAACATTTGCTCACTATGGACAATTCCAAAAATTCACACAAACCTTAGAAAATTAAAGCTATAAAACCCAGAGACAGCCAATATATATTTTGTAGTTCTTAAGCAGATATGTTCAGTAGAATCAGATATGAAGCTTTAAACAATAAGCACATTGAATCCTACCTCTGAGATTCTGATTGGGTAGGTTTTGGGCAGCACCCTGGCCACTGTCTCATAATTCTGCCTTTCTGTTCCAAGTTATCTGAGACTTATCTGACTTCACCATCCCCCTGCCCTCATCAGAGCAAAAGCTCCATGAGGAAGAGGTTTTGTTTGTCCTGTGCACTGCAAAATCCCAACACCCAGAACCATGCCCACTGCACACTCAAAAAATACTGAATATTTTCTAGACCTTCAAATTAATATTTGATTTCAGCACTTACTAAATAACATACTAATAAGATTTATCATTACTTATTTCTCTTGTTTTCTAAATTGTTTCTTTCAGTTGTTCTGTTTTCTCATATAGATCTTTCTCTTTTGTGTTATTTTCCTCATAAGTTTGATAATCCAAGTTTGTAAGTAAAATACTTTTATTCAATACAAGTAGCTGGCATGGTTTCTTCTGCTTGTTTCTTTGATGTGCATTCAATTCTGCAGAAGGTCTGAAGGAAAACAATCAGCCAAGATCATGTCCTCATGCCAAGAACTCAGAGCTCCAACACCGTCCTTCCCTGGTTGTCGGGGTGGTCAGGTGTGCCCTAACCACACACAGGGCTGGGCTGGCCTCATCACAGGCACTGGTAGGAGCCTCATGTCTTCCTGAGGTCACTGTTCCTGCATTTACTGATTGCTGCTGGGGTGGTTTTTACCACACGCTCAGGTTTCTCCTGTGGCACAGTTTTGCCAGTGGAACTGAGGTCATCCATCTTACCAGCACACCTGCCCTACCTCCAGCACCTGCCTGCATGTTCTGAGTTCCTGCAGGTCCCTGAGCTGTCACTCTGTAGAGGCGGCAGCCCCAGGAGCATGTTCAAGGTCACACCCTTCAAGCAGACAGAATCAGGAAGGATTTCTTTTGTGGGGGAATGGCTAGAAGAGAGGGTGTCCATTTAAACTGCTGGGGAATCTCTGACCATAATGGAATTGAATCTTTCATAAACAAATGGATAACGCTTATATTATCTTCCTTTGCAATTCCACTACTTCTCATCAAAATAAAGGATTACTGTTGAATGATACTTAAACCTTAGAATTACAATATTTTTCACTAAAACTAAATGATTAACAAAAAATATAAGATCCCAATAGTACAAAATATTTTTTATATTTTAAGTTAAATCAAGTCCCATCTTGAAACAAAAATGGAGGAAACAAGGAAAAAAGAAAATAGCCCGAGCTTCCAATACTAACCATACGCTTTTTCTGGGGCAGAAAGCCCCTAAATGGTCATAAGCGCATACGTCTACGAGTCCCTGAGGCCAGTGCAGTGTGGGGGCTGACGTGAGTGAGATGCTTATCTTTCCAGCCTGCAAAGAGGGAACTAGGGTAATGAGTTAATCCCAGGCCGCGGTACAGAAACCAATAAAAGCAAGAACAACTTGGCTGGTAACGAGAATCCCTCTGTTGTTGTAAATTAAGTGTGCTGAATCAGAACTTTTAAAGCAAAAACACAGAGAAACTGTGAATTGGCCTAATAACTGCTACAATTAAAAAACTCAGAAGAGCTGGCATTGATGTTTTTTCTTATTTCTACCCTAAAGGTATTTTCCAATAGGTTCCTCATACAGTAGGGTAATCAAAAATGAATAATATACATAATGATTAATGGATATTTTAGGGTTATTATGGGTTCATGTTATAGAAACTATCAGACATTCATTAGTGGATCAAGGAAAATGTGTACTTACAATCTCGACTGAAAGTGGCCTTTATTCTGCAAATAAGAAAGAGTCAAGACCTGGGCATAAGTTACAGTATAAGGAAAACTGTGCACAGCACCCCCAGTGAGGATGATACAGGCCATGCAACACAGGAGGGAGCCTCTGAGCCCCTCTGGGTCCAAAACCAACCTGCCATTTAAGCTGAGAGCAGAGCACCTTTGAGCCTTTCATTGTGATCGTCTTAAGGGCAGCCCTTGAGCTGACAGAGAAATAAACACAAGCCATTAGAATCCGTACAGAGCAAGATGGCTGGGTTCTCCTGACCCTTCCAGCCCACTCCCCAGGGCTGCTCTCAGGCTTTCTCTGCCAGCTCGGAAGTGCCTTGTCCTGGTTGTCCACTAACCCCAGCCAGGTGCTGAGGGCTTTACACAGAGGACCTCTGGCCACATAACAGTCCTTTCTCAAAGGAGACCTCAGGGTTTTAGAACACCAGCTGTGGAAGGAGCCTCAGAGCTGTGGTCCTGAGTGAGGTGGGCTCATGTCCAGAGAGCTGCATGGGCAGGAGATGCTAACTGGATGTAGATGAAGGGGAGCAGCCGGGGGAGTGGGGCTGAGAGGCTCACAGTGATCCTGCCAGCTCCTCCTTTTCCTGAAGCAGCTCCTGGGGGAGCCCCAAGGCACTCTCGTGCACTGTCTTCGTCCATGGGAGGCAAGGCTTGGGGTGGTGAAAGGTGGGATGTGGGTTCAAGCTGTACTTGTCCTAGGGACAGTGGAATATGGCTGTGAGCTGCAAGCCTCGTGGTGTCTGCCGGCTGCGGCTGCTTCCACTGTGAAGGGTGACGGCAGGCCCGGCCCACAGGGCTGCGGCGTGGATTCAGGGAAGCATGTAAGAATCTGGCTCCTGACTTGAGCACATGCATGCCCGGGAGATGGCCTGAGGACGGCAGTCAGTGAAGTGTAACTATTATTATTTTTAAAAACCTTCAAAAGTGTCATTGATACAATAGGTAATGGTAACTGTACTGTAGCATTACAGTCATCTGCACAGAGAATTTAAAAACAAGCAAACTGCACTCCGTAGGATCTCGAGTTTAGAAGACACCTGGAGATCACGTGGGTTAATCCTTTCAGCCAGATCCCCTATCACCGTGTCCGTAACAACAGTGTCCATCCAATTCCAACCTGAACTCTTCCAGTCAGGGGAGCTCAATTCCTTTCAGGAAACTTTTCTAGACAGTTCCAATCACTAGAAAGTTGTTCTCTCAGTATGCAAAAGGAGAACTGAAAACCCAACAGACATGAGGAACCCCAAATGCAGCCACTGAAAACCCAACAGAGATGACGAGCCCCAAATGGAGTCACTCTCCCAGAAAGGAGAACTAGAGCAAGAGACGGAGCCGTGTGGCGGCCGTGGTGCAGGGAAGTGGGCCAGGCATGAGCTCCCGGGGAGCCTGCTCCGCGGGGAAAACAGTTCACTCCTGAGATGGTGACAGAAGTCAGGCATTCTCTTAGAATGCAGTACAGTCAAAAAAGCACATCAGATGAGAGGAGAGACACTGGTCACAGGCCTGTGAGTTCTGCTCAGCAGCATTTTCAGGGACAACAGAGAGGGCAGAGAAGATGCTTCTAGCAGAAGTGACAGGACAGAAGGAAACTTCTCAGAAGTGAAGACTCAACAATCCAGATCAGAGGGTTCAGGGTAGTAAGTAGGAAAGAAACTCAAACAAACTAACCACACACCTAGGCTTAATCTGTTGAAATTCCTGAATTTTAGGGAAAATAGATAAATGTAACGCTACAGGAGAGAAAACAAGGAGGTACCTTCTAGAAAGGAAAGAAACTCAAACTGGCTCTGTGACAAAGGGTGACCATGGAGGGGTGGCATGGAGGTCTTGACGTGTCCTTGGGGTAGGGCAGAGCCCAGACATCCACAGTCCCCAGTCCACCTGGCACACAGGCAAGGGCCAGGTAACATCAAGATCCAGGGCCCCACCCACACAGGACTTTTCTCCAAAAACCAAACAAAAACAACCAACCAAGAAATCACCCTGTCACCCCAATTAAGGATATATTCCAGCAAAGTGAAAAATAAATCTGGATGTGGAGTTAAGGGCAGGAGCACTGGCTACAGAAAACTGGTTAGAAGAGAAACCAGGAGCTCTTACGGCTTCATCTAAACAATTGTTGATCATGAGGCTATGTGACTCATTACGAAAGGCTTTTAAAAAAAAAGCACGATAAAATGAGTTTCTAAAACTCAAGATGATGTCATCAGAATCTAGGAAGATGAGGATGGGAAGAGTGTGGAATAAAAATGAGCCCAATATTTCAGCTTTTCCCAAGTTTGGATCTTTACAAATATTAATTCTTGATGCCAACATTTTTTCAAA
Organism: Homo sapiens; assembly: GCF_000001405.40. Taxonomy (NCBI): domain Eukaryota; kingdom Metazoa; phylum Chordata; class Mammalia; order Primates; family Hominidae; genus Homo; species Homo sapiens. Next base: position 45,209,079 of record NC_000021.9, on the reverse strand, counting down.
GTGATTTAAACATATTTGTTTTAAAAAATTGGGGTAACCACTGGTCAGAATAGAAATAAGATTTAGAACTTCCCACCAGTCGGAAGAAAGGGGAAAGACAATTTAATCGGTCCAGCAAAAGCAAAGGGGAGGAAAACAGAAAGTAAAATGGAAAGAAAAATTGTCAGATGAAAAGAATGATTCTGTACTTGGAGCCAAGCTTGGTGGTCGTTCTCTTCTACAATGACTCATGGCACGTTCACTCCTCCTAGAAACCAGGGCAAGGAGGAAACTCACATTACTGACACCTCTTTCCCACAACCCCGGTGCCTGCTCTTACCTGGAGAATACGCATACACACACACACACACTCTCTCTCTCATACACTCATGTGAGCGTGCACACACACATGCACACACACTCATACACACACGCACTCATGCACACACTCACATGCACTCACACACACACACACGCACACATACACACACACACTTTCCACACTCTCACAGTGATGTTCCTTCTCTCTCACTCCAGCCAGGGCCTCATTAAACCAGCTTCCCTTGCTCTTCCTGCCCATAATGTCAAATGGTCTCGGGTGGATAGCAGCTCAGCAGGCACCTGCCTTCTTCCTGCCACACACCTGGGCCTGCTGCCAGCCCCCTTGGGTCCCTGTGCTGTCCTCCCAGAGATACCTAAATGCAAGCTCTTCACAAGGACCCTACCCCATCATGTAGCCTTGTTTGTTAACGTTTCGTGCCAACATTCAACATGAAAACCAGCAGGATAGGAAGCCTTGTCTGCAAACCCCGGAGCAGGCTGTCTGTCAACAAGGTCCCCAGAGCCATCGCATGCGGCATTTGGGCACCCTGCTCCTTCTTCTTGGTTTATCTTAGTGAGCGTTGGACAACAAACTGGGCCAGCTGAGGAGCTCACACTCAGGAGATCAATGGACATAAATAAGAAGCTGGAATTGTCCTGAAACTTGCAAGTGCTGGATGTGAAACTCATTTGAGAGAAAGTCTGAGAAAGCTCGAGAGACTTCCTCTTCCACAGTGCTAAGCAAGGGTACCAAGTGTGTATACCCACAAAGGCAAAAGTGTCACAGCTTGGCACCAAGAACCTTTCTGAAAGTAAAACTAGTGTTCAGGCTGAAATGAAAATTAAATTCTTCTCACTTTAATCCTGACAGCATTATCTTTTTAAAAGAAAGCAACACCCTATCCCTACATTTTTACTTTGATTTGCTCCCAGTTTCAGGTAATCTTTTCTTTGTATTCATTTATGTCCATTTTTGTTCCTCCCTAAAGACACTACAATTCACTAGGCGCTGTCATACCGCGCTCTCTTTTTAACACGGGAATGACCTTTATAATAAAATGTGAGGTGACAAAGTGTAACAAACACGACGTGAGCTGTGATGCACAGTGCAGGTGCACAGCAAGGGGGCCAATGTCCTGGTAGCTCCTCTGTCCAGGTCACTTGTCAAATGTAAGACTTTTCTTTTAATGAAGTTTTGAGAGCTTTGCTTTGGGACCCATTTTTAAAGAGTGTGACCTCCCAAATCTATTAAGACATCAACATTTGCCTCTCCAGATTTTTCTTGTTTGGTTCCTTTTGTCTCCAGTAACACCCACAGCATTACTTGCCTTCGGCTTCAATTCTGAAGCAGAAGCCTCTGCCCTCCCATCCTGCTCCACCCTGTGGCTCACCTAATGTCCTGCTACGCTGTCCTGCTGATTCACAGGAGTCCTCGTCTAAAGGTGTCTTCTCCAAAGCTACTTGCTTTGCTGATCTGAACTCTCTTCAGGGAAACAACAACAAAAACCCATTTCCAAAATAAAGCATTTACCAAAAATAAGATATTTCAAATAGTTTGCATTTTGAAATAGACTTTGGTGCTAGAGTGACATTGTTTATTGGCTCAGATTTGAGTTAAGGTTCTGCCTCCTGGAGCTTGAGTGGTGTCCTTTTATTTTCATAGGACAGTGGCACATTTGTCCAGAAGGATTGCAAGGGGTGCCTGGTCCATCCCTGCCACTGGGCGTATGAAGAACCCGAGACACAGAAGCTTCCAAGGAGGCAGAGCTGACGCAGGGGCAGCCTCATGGCTCCAACCCAGGCTCTCTCTGCTGCTGCTGAATCAGCTCGGCACAGCCCCCTGCAGCGGGGACCAGGGGAGGGGTTTGGTAATGTGCTTTAGGCTATCAAGATTAGAGATAACGGAGGCCAGGCACGGTGGCTCACGCCTGTAATCCTAGCACTTTGAGAGGCTGAGGTGGACAGATCACCTGAGGTCAGGAATTCAAGACCAGCCTGGTCAACATGGTGAAACCCCGTCTCTACTAAAAATACAAAAATTAGCTGGCTGTGGTGGCACACGCCTGTAATCCCAGCTACTTGGGAGGCTGAGGCAGGACAATTGCTTGAACCTGGGAAGTGGAGGCTGCAGTGAGCCAAGATCACGCCACTGCACTCCAGCCTGGGCAATAGAGCAAGACTCTGTCTCAAAAAAAAAAAAAAAAAAAAAAAAAAAAAAAGACCAGAGAAGATATTGAGGAGGAAAGGATAAACAGCAGCATCAGTAACTTTGAAGTCTCTATCTTGCAGACACTATCTTTCAAGGTCTTTTAACAGATATAGATGCTTTTCACATAAGTGAAATATGATAAAAATACACTGACTTTTATAAATGAGCTCTACTTTCAATATCTTAGAAAATTTCTTTAGCAAAATGATTCTGTCTTTGCAGATTTTAGTTACGGATGAGATATTGCTTAGACAGCGCTATTCAACAAGGCCCTAATTAACAACTATTTTTGAGTATCACCTATGTGTCCCATATTCCACATGCAATGTTTTAAGTATCTATGCATATAAAAGATGAGTGACAGCTAAAATTAAAGCACTCTTTGCTCAAGTACAGAAGACAGAGAGCAAAGAGGGAAATTTTCTGAATCATGAGAAATTCACACACCAATACACAACAAAATACTTCAAAAGACATTGATGCTACAATTTCAACCTACCTACCATCAAGTTTTATCTATTTTGTTTTTCTTAAAACACAATGGTTAAGTTACGGAACTGTAAAATTTAATTAAAGACAACTGTTTTTCCCCATCCCTGCCTCCTTCATGTGCTCTGACAGGCATGCTTTCAAATAAAATTCCACACTGCTTTTTCTCAAATTAAAGGCGTGCTAGTTGCCAGGCACTAGAAAACAAGGCAGCACAAACACAAGCACACACACACCCCAAAATAAACGTGTTTCAGGTTAGGATTATGGTTTTAGTTTTGAGCTTTTAAAAAAGTAGTGAAATTATATGTTTAAAAAGATAAAAATACCTTAACTGTGTCCTTTTAAATAAAGGTGAGCTTAGAAGTTAGGACCTTTGAATTCAAAAGCTCCTGTTCACTTTACTGTTAGCCACTGAAATTCTAAAAAAAGAAAAAAGAAAACCAGCAATGAAGGGAATCGAGGGTAGGTGCAGACACCAGGGAGACAGCCTCTGCCTGCCATTGGCACCCCTGGTTCCACCTGTCACCATCTCTCGGAGCCAACAGGGCCTCTCCAGGGAGCCCAGGGCAGGCTCTAGGCAGCTCACCGCTGTGGACACCCTGGTGGCTCTAAGACAGCGTAAACGTCCCGGAGACCTGGCTCAGGGTTAGTCTGGGAAAGCCAATGCTGACATAATTTTCAGTGTCTGTTGAGTCTCTGCTGCTGAGACAGGAATGAATACAGTGCCTGAGTGAGAGGAAAACAGACAGGTGCCCAGCCCAGTCATAATTTCATTCTTTTCATTTTTCATTTCTTTCTTTCTTTCTTTCTTTCTTTTAAAGACAGGGTCTCACTCTGTTGTCCAGGCTGGAGTGCAGTGGTACAATCTTGGCTTACTGCAACCTTGACCTCCTGGGCTCAGGTGATCCTCCCACCTCAGCCTCCCAAGTAGCTGGGACCACAGGCATGCCCCACCTCATCTGGCTGATTTTTTTGTATTTTTTGTAGAGATGGGGTTTTGCCATTTTTCTCAGGCTGGTCTTGAACTTCTGGGCTCAAGCAATCCACTAGGCCTTGGCCTCCCAAAGTGTTGGGATGACAGGTGTGAACCCATCAATTCTTCTATGAATGGCTAGGTTTGTGATTGGTAAAGGAGATTAATCTTACAGAGAGACTCACTTAAAAGGCCCTAGAGACAAGGCCCGGAGAGCCTCAGAAACATCACCTTGGGTCTCTTTAGAAGGACTCTGATGTTCTTTTGATAGCCACAGAGCAGCTCAGGTGGTGTTTTTTTCATTCATGAGGATGAAAACATTGCAAAATCAAGACAGAGATTAAATCAGCACACTCTAGAGATACTTGCCACTGAGCAAAGGCTTGTTGAGGGTGTAGAGAGGTGGCAGGTCCTCTATGTTGGAGATCCGCTGGTACATGGCCCTGGAAAGGTGGTCCCCGTGGTAAAGGCTGCCCAGGATGATGCTCGAGAAGTAAATGGGCTCCACGAAAATGCTGAGCAGGGATCCCTGGATGCCCACCACGTTCCAGCTGGAGGGAGAAGAAAGCACAGTCTTCAGGGAGCTCGGACTCAGTGTCGACGCAGCCCAGCCCAAGCCTGCGTGGTTACAGGGATGCACTGGCAATTCCGCAGGATCCCAACCAACTGACGAAGGAGTGCAACAAAAAGTTAACAGACTGATTTAGCAGCTTACGATCACAAAGACAAAAATCTACTTAAAAGTTATTTTACACTGTGTTTGTTTTTACCATTACGTTTTCCCACAATCAATGAGCCACATATGTTTCTTGTGAGAAATCTGTGGGAAATATCAGAAAGGAAATTACATATTTAATTATAGCAGGTCCCCTTATCTGAGGTTTCACTTTCAGAGGTTTCAGTTACTCACTGTCAACCGTGATCTGAAGATATTAAATGAAAAATTCCAGAAATAAACACTTCCAGACTTTCAACTGTATGCCGTTCTGAGGAGTGTGGTGCGATCTTGTGCTGTCCAGCCCGGGATGTGAACCATCCACGTTGCAGATGCCGCTGGCCCATTAGCAGTCGCCTTGGTGATAAGATTGATGGCCACAGCATCACTGTGCTTGTGTTCAAGTCACTCTTATTTTATTATTAGTGACTGTTAATTTCTTACTGTGTCTAATCATAAATTAAACTTTATATAGGAAGGTACTTACAGGAAAAATACCAGCACGTACAGGGTTCAGTACTATCTACAGTTTCAGGAGTCTACTGGGGGTCTTGAGACACATCTACGGAGAAGCGGGGACCACTATACTTCTTAAAAAAGGACAGCTCTTCAAGAGGTCCTTCAAAACATTAAACTGCTTATTTCCTGTTCTCTGCAAGTGACAATGGCACTGAATGCACAGGCAGGTAGGGTGTGGGGATTTACAGCGACTGCACGTGTGCAGCTGACATGCATGACACCAATGATGCATGCCAATGGCAACTTAGGTATTCATTATCAGCTCCAACACACACATGCCTTCACAATATGCCTGTTCTCTCTTTCTGAGCCCCACAAAGAGCAGAGATGCTCTGCTCAGCCTGGGAGTTGCTGTGTCTGGAGCACCCTTTGCTGGGCGCTACATACACAGGGTGTGAAGTACCTGGGGGGAGATACAGCTCAGGAGCTAAACAATAATGCAATAAAAAGACAAATGAAGAACTATAAATTGAGGTAAAATCAATTTGGGAGAAAGGGCGGGGTTCTGTGAAAAAGAAAAAGGGGTGTATGTACTTGAAGGAATGCTCCTGGGGTGACCCTGAAGCTTAGCCCCAAAGGAGGGGGCTGTGAGGCTGAGGGAGGAACGCATGTCCCAGCCTGGGGGGCAGGGGACACAGGACAGCAGCAAGGGCAGCCAGGGCAGAGGGGCAGGGCAGGGGCCCCTAAGCAGCCAGGAGCTTGATGAGGGAGGGGGCGGTATTCAGATGGCAGAGAGAGGCCTCTGGAGTGGCCCAATCTAATTTCATGGAGTGTCTCAGGGGAGGGGCTGGCGCATGCGCATTTTACGAAGTGGCGTCAGCAGTGTGGCACGCGCTGCAGGGTTACACGCTCAGCAGTGTGGCACACGCTGCAGGGGAAGACGCTCAGCACAGTGTGGCACAGGCTGCAAGGGAAGACGCTCAGCACAGTGTGGCACGCGCTGCAGGGTTAGACGCTCAGCACAGTGTGGCATGCGCTTCAGGGGAAGACGCTCAGCACAGTGTGGCACAGGCTGCAGGGGAAGACGCTCAGCACAGTGTGGCACAGGCTGCAGGGGAAGATGCTCAGCACAGTGTGGCACGCGCTGCAGGGTTAGACGCTCAGCACAGTGTGGCACGCACTGCAGGGGAAGATGCTCAGCACACGCTGCAGGGGAAGACGCTCAGCAGTACAGGTCAGAAATGAAGGTCGACTGGGCAGTGTGGGGACAGGGAGGCCAGGGCAGATGAGAAACATTCGGGCTTAGATCTGCGGATGTGGCAGGACTTGAGACTGGAGGAGGCTGACGCCCAGACTGGAACCAGCCTCCATATATCCCCCCTCTGTCACTCACTCCGTGGCACAGCCTCTGCCTGACAATGCCCACAGTTGTATTTGGAGGCCTGAAGTCTCAGGGCCACTCCATGCCCCCTCAAGAACCTAGCAGGGCAGAGCTGGCAAGTGGGGTAGGCAGCACATGACAAACAGCCGCCAACCTCACCTGTTTACGCCTCATTCTGGATATGCCCCAGCACTGACCTCCAGCTGCTCAGTCCCCACTCTGGGGTCACCCTCACCCTGCTCATCCCTGTCACAGCAGTCATCAGCAGATCACCTGGGATCCACTTTTGGAAGAGATATAGGACCTGACTTCTGGCCACTGCCACTGCTACGCCATGGGTCAAGTCATGCCCCCCTGCCTGTGTCATGACGCCCTCTCCTAAGGGGAACCCGGTGCCTGCCCCAAGCCCTCTCCTCTTGACCCCTGTGAACACGTGGGCCAGCACAGGCCATTCCCTGGCACAAAACAGTCCAGTGGCTCCCAAGAAAATGCCAGCAGTCCTCCGGCCAGATCCCCCAGCCCTGTCACCTCTCACCCTGCACCTGTCCCCAAGCTTCTGGCCACCCTCAGGGACCTCCTTGCTGCTTGCCCAAAGCTTCTGTCCACAGGTCCACCAGCTGGAACACCAATCCCAGAGGCAGCCATGGCTGCCCCCACTTTAGGTCCCTGTACAAAAGCCGTTCTGAGGGAGGCCTCCCTTCCCAGCCACTCAAGCCTTTTGCTTACCTGCTGCCTGAGGTCTCCCTTCCCTGCCGCCCAAGCCCTCCAACCCCATTCTGACTTCCACATAATTTACAGATCCATGTTGGACTCTCTGCTCCCATCCTACCCCAGTGCAGGAAGAGGTTTCTGTCTGCTTTCTTTACTGACCTATCCCAGCACTTACAATATGTACCTGGCACATACAGAAGATCAATAAATATGTGTCGAATGGACAAATCCTCCAATTCCTATGACACATTCCTTCCACCTTCCAAAATGGAAATGAAAATGAAGGTTTCCCTAACTTACAGAAAAAGCATGAAATGATTCAATACCTCTAAGAAACACAGGCCCCTTTCTTCTACAGATTAGAAGCCTCTATGGACTCAGCATCTTTAAGCTGAATTAGGTCTTCTGGGCAAACTTTAAAGCAGTGATCCTGCAGAAACCTTCATTTGTTAGGAGTCATTAATTCTGAACGTATGCTTTGAAAGAGAATTCCAAGAGTGTCTACAGCTCTGCAGAGGCCCTGGGTGGGAAATGGTGTGGCACCAGCTTCCACTAATGCACCTCACAAAGGACAGCTGGGACAAACTTCATCAGGATGAAATCGCCTAGCGCCAGCGAGAGGGTGTCAGACACAGTCAGCGTCCATGCAAATAAAACAAGTAAAGCTCTGCCAAGACTGCAGGCAGGACGTCTCCTAGAGATACCCACTACATGTCCACAGCCACCTGTCCTGCGGACCCCATGGGAGGTGCCCACTCACAGCGTGCCATGAAGTGTGTTTGGCTGACACCCAAGGAACCTACAGGTGTCCCCACTCTCACAGCATGGCCTCGGCTCAGTGCACCCGGGTCTAGGCATCTGTGCCTGGCCTTCTTCGTCTTTCATTTTCCTTGTGCCATTTCTTTAGGAACAGAGTCCAGACTGCTATCATCTGATCTGTCCCCTGATTCAGTAAAGGGCCCGGCCTGAGAGACTGAGCTGCAGACAGACGTCGGCCAGACCACACAGGGCAGGAGAACTACTCTGACCCAAACCACAGCCTCCACAGCACTCGGCCCAGTCAGCCAGGCTTTCAGGAAGGACTACAGCTTCCTAGTGGTTGCCCCACGCCCATTCCTTCCTGCTTTCAACCCAGGACCAGCCAGAGATGCCCCTGGGTTCTTCAAGCAGCTGCACGGGAGGCCACCTTCTGCAGAGCCCATCTTGGCTTCCCCTACCTCCATCAGAACATACCCAAAGCCTCCCCCTTTCCCTACAATAAAGCCATCCCCCTTCCTGTGCGTGCCTTTGAGTCTGCCCAACACAGTGCTCTGGCCCCCTTGCCATAGCCGACTCTGAATAGACAGGCTGCTGGTCCTCCTCTGGATGGTCTTGTTTGTTCCCACAGCTCTGTGCAGCTGAGGACACAGGCCGAGGTCATCTGAACCAAGACTCTCGTTCCTTCCCACGGCTCCCGCGCCAACATAATCACCGTGGGGTGGCCAACCCCATGGGAGCCTCTCACCCCATGGTCTTGTGGACAACTCTCTGGGGCTGCATTCACCGCCAAACTGCCTGCCAGTGGGATGGACACCCTGGTGACCTCCAATGGCAGTGCTGTGGCTCCCACCCCACCCCCAACCTACCATGGCCCTGGGCCCTCTGCCTGTCACTGTGTCCTGTGTAAGGGGAACAGTTCAGCCTCACCCAGCCCCATCCACCTGGCCCTCCAAGGTGGCTGCTCCCCACTCTCAACTCTCCCAGAGCAGGGACACAGCTGCAGCCAACTGGCATCATTTTGGCCACCAGGGCTCTTTCCGGGCAACTTTTCTGGCCATTTGCTATTTCTTGGCCCACCCATGCTAGGTTCTATCAGCTTGTGTTTGTTTCTTCCTTGAGGTAAAGTCTAATTACTATATAATAAAAGGCTTGGATCTGAAGGGTTCAGGTCCATGAGCCCCGACTCCTGCATTTATGTGTGTGACATCCCCACGCCCCAGCAAGGATCCTCCAAATGGATGGCTTTGTGCTATGCAGGTGCAGGAGTCAGCCTGTAACCAAGTCGAATCCTTTGTTGGTCACATGAGACATCAGAAATCTCTTCCCAATATGTGGCTTTTCTTTTCCAAATATGTGGGTTATAGTAAATAATTCCTGAAATTTTAATTTAGTCAAATTTATTCACTTTTCTTTATAATTGGGGTTTTCTGTGCCTTACTGAAGAACCCTGCAACTGCCAGGCACTGCTCTGCATACTCAGGTCCTTAACTGTCCTAGCATGTGCTTTGGATAGTGTATGGTGGGCTGCTTCTCTGCACAGACAGCCTGTTTCTCCAGGACTGGTCGTTGGCTACTTTGTCCATGTCTTCTGCGAGCACCACGTCTAGCACAGACTGCTGGCTGCAGCCCTGCCTTTCTTCCCTTCCTCCTGCATGACAGAGCCCCAGTCCTCTTCCAGGTGGCTGAGTGTGTAAGCCCGGCCACCCCAGCTGCCCCATAGCGAGTGGAGCCCTGTGCCTGAGCTCTGGATGATGAGCTGAGCTGGCTGAAGTGTCCCTGTGCCTGGAATTCAGACTGGGTACTCAGGGATTTCGTCAGCTCTAGGGATTATGAAGACCCTGAACTCAGAAGAGACCTCTTAGATGGTGCGGGACAAAGAGGGATCAGGCTCCAGACCATGGAGCCACCAGAGCTTCTCTGGGCCACCTATTTTTGGACTTAATTTTCTGTGAGAGAGACAAGCCTCCATCTAGTTTACATTTTCTTTTAAACACAGGCAGGCCTGATCACCAGTGCTGCCCCATGGGTCTGCAGGTCTTTTCAGATTGTATGTTGTGCCACTGTTCTGCCGAAAATTACCACTCACTTTTGATTACTATGGTTTTATATTGTTAGTTTTCTATTGCCATGTTGGGATTCAACTTTTAAGTACTATGAAAAAATAAGATTTTTATTAAAATCACATTGAAATGATAGATTTAAGAGGAATTAATGAAGCTTTAAAAAATATAAAATAGAATTTGGCTTGCTAAATTTTTAAAGATAATGTAAGTGTATAAATGTGTATTTCCATGACATGTTGTTGTTTTGTTTTCCTTTACTGTCCTTGTCTGGTGTGGAGATAAAGGTTGTAGTAACCTTTGAGTTATGAGCCACACAATGAGCTGCAGAATTCTTCCCTACTTTTCTATCCTTGGAAAATATTACATAAAATGGGGATCATCATCCCACAAACGATGTCTAGAACTCACTCAATGTTGTCTGGGCCAACCACTTCCCCTCTCTCCACAGACTCTCCTTCCTTCTATTTTCTTAATTTATTCTCTGTGTGTGTGTGTATGTGTGTGTGTGTGTGTGTGTGTGATTTAATTTAATAGGCAGAGTTCTATTCCAATTTTCTGCATATGCTTAAGTCACTTTTAGCAATGTACACTTTTCTAGAAAATGTTCTATTTTGTCTCAGTTTTAAAACCTATCAGTGCTGAAGTGTCTAGGACTCTCCACTGTAGCAATCTCTGCTGGACCCTGAAGGATATCCGTGTTTTCATTCCAGATACGTTTTGGTAGTGCCTTCTGTCTTCTTGATCAGCCTCACCGGTTCTGTTGACTTTAATCAACCTGCCTGCTCTAAGTACTGACATCTTAGAGGCTTTGTTACTGCTCACTGCTACATCTTTGTTGCTTACAAAACTAATTTCTGCTCTTAACTTTACTGTTTGCATCCTTCTAACTTATTTGAATTTTTCTAATTCATATAGTTGTGGTGCTTTCTGTCATTTACTTATATAAGCATTTTCTCATGTGATTTCTTCCCCTGGAGTTACTGCGGTACAACTGACATACAATAAACTGCACACGCTTAAAGGGACACTGTGGTAAGTTTTGACATTTGTATGTACCCATGTGACCTCACTCCCCAAACCTCCTGTCTCCTTACATCTCGTTCTGTCCCCACTAGGCAATAACTGACCTGCTTTCTGCCACTGCAGCTTAGTCTGCATTCTCCCGAGATATATACAAATGGGACTGTATGGTAATTCCTCTTTTTCATCTGGCTTCTTTCACTCTGCGTAATTATTTTGAGATTTCTCTATGCTGTAGTGTGTATCACTGTTCTTTTTTTCACCCAGTAGTACTCCACTGCATGGATATGCCACCGTCTGTTCTATCTATTTACCGGTTGATGGCTGCGTGGATTGCTTCCAGTTTTTGACTATTTTGTCTATTACAAAGAAAGTCCTACAAACATTCATTTACAAGTCTGCGTGGACATACGCTTTCATTTCTCTTTGGTAAACCACTAGGAGTGAAATGGCTAGGCTACATGGCAGGCATATCTGTAACTTTTTTTTTTTTTTTTTGAGACAGAGTCTTGCTCTGTTCCCCAGGCTGGAGCGCAGTGGCGTGATCTCAGCTCACCACAACCTCTACCTCCCAGGTTTAAGCGATACTCCTGCCTCAGCCTCCTGAGTAGCTGGGACTACAGGTGTGTGCCACCATGCCCGGCTAATTTTTGTATTTTTAGTAGAGACAGGGTTTCACCATACTGGCCAGGCTGGTTTTGAACTCCTGACCTTGTGATCCACCCGCCTCGGCCTCCCAAAGAGTTGGGATTACAGGCGTGAGCCACCACGCCTGGCCATATCTGTAACTTTTTAAGGAACTGTCAAACTCTCTTTGTTTTGTTTTGAGTCTTATTCTGATGCCCAAGCTGGAGTGCAGTGGCGCAATCTCAGCTCACTGCAACCTCCGCCTCCTGGGTTTGAGTGATTCTTCTGCCTCAACCTCCAGAGTAGACGGGATTCCATGCCTGGCTAATACTTGTATTTTTAGTAGAGATGGGGTTTCGTCATGTTGGCCAGGCTGGTTTCGAACTCCTGACCTCAAGCGATCCATCTGCCTTGGCCCAAAGTGCTGGAATTAAAAGCATGAGCCACCGTGCCTGGCTGTGTCAAACTGTCTTTAAAAGTGATTGTTCTATTTACATACCTAGCCACAGTGGATGACAGTACCAGTTCCTCCATATCACTGTCAACATTTGGTTTGGCCAGTCTTTTTAATTTCAGCCACTCCAAGAGATGTGTTGTGGCATCTCCTTTGCATTTCATCAGTGACTAATGGTGTTGACCAGCTTTTCATGTGCTTATTTCACATTTGTGTATCTTTTTTTGGTGAAGTGTCCATTCAAACATTTTGCCCATTTTAAAAACTATTTTCCCCTTGTTGCGTTTTGAGAGTAACAGTGGATTGTGGATACCAATCGTTTATTAGATATATGATTTGCAAACATTTTCTCCCTGTTTGTCAGTTTATTTCTCACTGTTTAAACAGTGCTTTTTGAAAGAAGTAATTTTTAAACTTTGACAGTTTTTTTCCTTTTATGGAAAGTCTTTTTTAGTGTAGCTAAAAACTTGCCTAACTCAATGTCACAAACATTATCTCCTGTTTCCAGAATTTTTATGCATTTAGGTCTATGGCCCATTACAAATTCATTTTGTATAAGGTGCAAAATATAAGTGAAGTCCATTTGTTTGGTTGCTTGATTTTTTTTGCTTTTTTTTTTTCTGCACAGGGATATCCACTTATTTCAGCATCACTGTTGAAAAGACTATTCTTTCTCCACTGAATTGCCTTTGTGCCTTGGTCAAAAATTAACTGTGACCAGCAATGAACAGCAGAATTGGAAATTAAAAACACAACATCATTTACACTAACACCCCCAAAACTGAAATATTTAGGTATAAATTTGACAAAGTATGTACAAGATCTGTATAAGTAAAACTATAAAATTCCAAAGAAAGAAATCAAAGAACTAAATAAATGGATATTCCATATTTATGGCTAGGAAGACTCAGCGTTGGTTCTGTCCAACTTGACATAGAGATTCAACACAATCCCAATCAATATTTCAACAAGTTATTTTGTAGATATTGATGAACTGTTCCTAAGGCTGATATAAAAAGGGAAATCCAGAAGAGCAAACACAGTATTGAAGGAATATAATGAAGCTGTAATACTAACATTACCTGACTTAAAGACTTACTATACTAGAGTAATCAGGACAGCATGGTATTGGTGAAAGAATACACAAATAGATCAATGGGACAGAATAAAAAGTCTAGAAACAGACCTACATAAATACAGTCAACTGATCTTTGACAAAAGAGCAAAGACAATGAAATGGACAAAAGGTAGTATTTTCTACAAACAGTGCTAGAACCAATGGACATAAACATGCAGAAAAAAAAAAAAAGAATCTAGGCATAGGTTTTACACCCTTCACAAAAATTAACTCAAAGTAGGTCACAACCTAAATGTAAAATGCAAAACTATAAAATTCCTAGAAGATAACACAGAAGAAAATCTAGATGATCTTGGGTTTGGTGATGACTTTTCAGATGTAACATCAAAGGCACAATCTATGACAGAAATAACTGATTTGCTAGACTTTATTAAAATTAAAAAGTTCTACTCTGTGAAAGACAAGGGAGTGAAAAGACAAGCCACAGACTAGGAGAAAATATTTGCAAAAGACATATCTGATAAATCTATGAAGAACTCTTCCAAATATACAAAAAACTCTCTAAACTCAACAATAAGAAAATGAACAACCTGATTAAAAATTGGCCAAAAAAATTTAACAGACACGTCATTCAAGAAGATATACAGATGGCAAATAAACACATGAAAAGATGCTCCACATCATATGTCATTAGGAATCTGCAAATTAAAACGAGATACTACTACATGTGTATTAGAATGGCCCAAAACCAGAACTGCTGACAACACTGAATACTGGTGACAATGTGGGACAACATTCATTGTTGGTGGGAATGCAAAACAGTGCAGCCACTTTGAAGGACAGTTTGGCAGTTTCTGACAAAACTCAACATATCCTCACCATACTACCCAGCATTCGTGCTCCTTGGTACTTACCCAAAGGACTTGAAAACTCATGTCCACAAAAAAACCTGCACACAGATATTTATAGCTGCTTTATTTGTAATTGCCAAAGCGTGGAAGCAATGAACCTTCAGGAAGTGAATGAATAAACTGTGGCACATCCAAACTATTATTTAGCACTTAAAAAAAATGAGCTATCAAGCCATGAAAAGGCATCAAAGAATCTTGAATGTAAATTACTATGTGTAAAAAGCCAATCTGAAAAGGCTACATACTGTATGATTCCAACTAGATCACATTCTGGAAAAGGCAAAACTACAAAGACATTAAGAAGATTAGCTGTTGCCAGAGGTTAGGAGGTGAGAGGGGTGAACAGGCAGAGTACAGAGGTTAGGAGGTGAGAGGGGTGAACAGGCAGAGTACAGAGGTTAGGAGGTGAGAGGGGTGAACAGGCAGAATACAGAGGTTAAGAGGTGAGAGGGGTGAACAGGCAGAGTAGAGGTTAGGAGGTGAGAGGGGGTGAACAGGCAGAGTACAGAGGATTTTTAGGGCAGTGAAACTACTCTGGTCTCACACTGTGATGGTGGATACAGGTCATTATACATTTGTCCAAAGCCAGACAATGTGCAGCATCAAGAGTGAGCCCCATTGTAAACTGTGGGCTTTGGGTGATGATGATGTGTCTTCGATTGTAATGAATATAGCACTAGAGTGGGAGATGCTGATGATGGGGAGGCTGTGCATACGTGAGGGCACTGGGTATATGGGAAATTCTGTATCTACCACTCAATTTTCCTATAAACCTAAAACCACTCTAAATAATAAGGAATCACTTGTTTGTATACTTATCTTTATGCCAAAATCATACTTTCTTAATTACTATCTTGAAATCAGGTAGTATTAGCCTTTTACTTTGTTCTTCCTTTTGAAAGTTGTTTTACCTATTCTATGTCCTTTGCATTTCCATATGGATTTTGGAATCAGTTTGTCAATTTCTCCAAAAAATCCTGTTGAGATTTTGATTAGGATTGCATTGAGTCTATAGATCAATCTGGTGAAAACTGGTATCTTGACAATAATGAGTTTTCCAACCAGTGACCATGATGTATCTCTCCATTTATTTAGTTCTTTAATTTCTCTAGGCAATGTGTTACAGTTTTCAATATACAGCTTTCAGTGTATTGCTTTACACATTTCAATTTCAACTGCTTGTTGCAGGTGTAAAAAATATAACTGATTTTGTATTTTACATTTTGGATCTTATATTTTGCCACAATGCTAAAATCATTCATTCATTCTCATAGTTTTGTATAATATCCATCTCATTTCCTACATAGATAAGTATGTCTGCAAATAAAGACAGTTTTACTTTTTCCTTTTCAATATGGATACCACTGATTTCTTAGGACCTTATAGCACTGGCTAGAACTTCCAATACAATGTTGAACAGAAGTGGGGAGAGCAGACAATCTTGTTTTGTTCCTGATCTTAGGCAAACACATTCAGTCCTTCCCTGTTAAGAATGACATTACCTGTAGATTTTTCATAGATTTCCTTTATCAGGTTGAGAAGGTTTCCTTCTATTTCTATTTTGCTATGAGTTTTTATGAGGAACACATGTTGGATTTTGCAAAATGCCTTTTCTGTGTCTTTTTTAGTTTGTTAATATGGTGAATTATATTGATTTTTCAAATGTTTCATTTAGCTTGGAATTCCTGGGATAGCCCCTACTTGGTCATGATGCTGTATTTGGTTTGCTAAAGTTTTGCTAGAACTTTTGGATCTATGTTCATGACACATTTTAACATGTAGTTTTATTTTCTTGTGGTGTCTTCATCTGGTTTTGGAACCAGGGAAATGCTGGCCTCACAGAATGAGTTGGGAAGTATCTCTTTCACTTCAATTTTGGAATATTTTGTGCAAAATGGGTATTTCTTCCTTAAATGTTTGGAATTCAATAGTGAAGCCATCTGAGCTTGGGGTTTTTCTTTTGTTGTCATTTTTGGTGGGAAAGGCTTTAAATTACAAATTCATTTTCTCTAATACATATAGATAGCCCAAGTTATCTACTTCTTCTTAAGTGAGCTTTGGTAGTATGTGTCTTTCAGGAAATATGTCCATTTCATCTAAATTGTCAATTGGCATAGCCTTGTTTATAATTTCTCTTCACAATCCTTTTAGTATCTGTAGCATCTGTGGTAATTTCACCTCTCCCATTCCGATATTGGTAATTTTGTCTTCTCTCTTCCATTTTCCAGGTGAACTCTTTTCTTACACATTTGGTGCTTCACTGTTCCTTGCCCTCTCTCTGTCTTCAAGTGGCATCTCATCTTCCAGGGCCTCTCTACACGGAGGGGCAGCTTCTTATAGCCCGGTGGTCTCAAGGTAGTCACAACTCTCACATGGTGGCTGCCACCAAGAGGCAAGAAATGGAAGTTGTCAGGCCAATTAAGGCTATGCCAGAACTAGCACTGCATTACTTCCACCACATTCTCTTATTCAAAGCAGCCACATGACAGGCTCAGATTCAGGGGCATGGGACAGAGACGTCACCTCTTAATGGTACAGTGGCAAGGTCACATTGTTGGAGAGGATTTTAGATGAGAGGCATTGGGGTGGGGCTATCTTTGTAAAATACAATACATCATAATTTTCAAATGTCCACCTTATTTGGTTACTCCTTCCCATACCTTCTCTTTGAAACCATAACCACAGAAATTATTGTAGCTCTACTATAGTAAAATTCTAGCATTCTTCTTTCTGACTGCATTAGCTGACTCTTTTTTAGCTCTCATTCTCTTACTACCACTACTCTATTCTCTAATTATAGATCCACCTTCTCTGCCTGAATGCCACAATCGACTGGCTTATTTCAAAGAAGCCTCAAACCTTCAAATTCTAGATAAATTTCTAGAATAATATGAAGGCTAAAAATTTGTTCTAGAAGAAACAAAAATTTAAGAAACTAGTAACCAGAAAAGGACCTGAAATTACAACTAGACTGGTCTCCTGCCAAAATGATGAGGATGACCATGAAGATAACTACAAAAAAAAAAAAAAAAAAAAAAAAAAAAAAATATATATATATATATATATATATATATATATGGACTGGATGTTTTCACTCTTGGGTTCTATACACTGCTGTCTCACAGAAGAGACTTCAGAAAGTAGAACAAGAAGACAAACACACTTTATGAGGCTATATTAACCTGGATTCCAAAATCAGATAAGAACAATTAAAAAGTTTAGAAAAAGTATAGGCCTATTTAACTTATAAACAAAAATCCTAAGTAAAATATTAGTCATCCAAATCAAACAGTATGTTAAAACAATGAGTGACTATAATAAAGTAAGGTTTATGTCAAAATTGCAAAAAGGTGGTCAACATCAGGAAATCTATTAATTATTTACCATTATTAAAAATAGACACACATAAAACATTTGATAAAGTAACACCAATATATGATAATAAAAAGGCTCTAAGACAATAGGAATAGAACAGAATTTTCCTAGCATGATGAAGGCTACCTACTAAAACCCTGTAGGAAAAACTGTACATCATGGAGAAACTTCAGTCACAATCTCTCTGAGATTCAGGAAGAAAACATGGACAGTGCTGTAACATATCATCCAAGGTCCTGGACAGCAGGAATAAAGAAAAATAACACTGGTATAACAAAAGAAGATATAGAACAGTCAATATCTACAGACTGTGACTTGGTACATTCAAGAACAACCAGGAAAGTATAAATAGAATAAGAAGTGAGTTAAGTTGCTGGCCATAAGGTTAACATTAAAAAATCAATGGTGTTTGGACTACGACTTCAACAAGATGGCAGTCTAGGAAGCTACAGGCCCTCTTTCCCCCATAGAGACCCTGAGTTAACAACAATATACAGACCAGAATGGCTCTGTGAGAACTCTGGAGACCAACTGAGAAGCTACAGTATCCAGTCCATTGTAAAACTAGGAAGAGATTCCAATGAAAGGGATAGGAAATTTCACGATGTTTGGCATGCCTGTTTGTTCCCCTTTCCCTAAATAGCAAGGTGCCCCCTAAGTGGGAGGAAGCCTCCATACTGGGGCTCTTCTCTTGGGATGGAAACAAAAGAGTGGATCATTAGTCTGATGTTCTGGCTGTCTGGAGTCTGCCCAAAGGGCTGGTTTCTGTCTTGCCTGAGTCTCATCAGACTCGGTGATGAGACTGGTGCCAGAGTTTGGGAGCCACTAAAAACAGAGGCAAGCAGCACATTAGAGCTACAGTTTTCCAGGAAGACACCAGGAGAAGCAGGAAATCAGAAAAAGCATAAGAGGTCCTAGATTTTTTAGCCAGCTTGTTAGTGAAGAACTTTCTCTGTACACAGCCAGTACACAAAGACTGGGAGAGATGGTTCTTTTTTCAAATGCCCAAATATTAGCAAAGCACACAAATAAACAAGGCATACAAGAAACAGGAAAACATAGCCCAACCAAAGGACCAAAAGTAAATTTCCAGAAACTGACCCTAAAGAAATGCACATCTATCAGCTGTCTAAAAAAGAATTTAAAATATCTGTCATAAAGATGCCTAATGAGCTAGAAGAGAACATAGACAACTAAACAAAATAAGAAAAACTTAGCAAGAACAAAATGAGCATATCAACAAAGAGATATTAGTATAAAAATGAGCCAAACATTCTGGAGCTGAAAAATACAATAACTGAACTGAAAATATCATTAAAGGCATGCAACAGAAGACTTGATGAGGTGGAAAAAAGAAGACAGGTCACTGTCTTTTTTTGAAATCACTGAGTCAGAGGAGCAAAAAGAAAAAAGAATGAAGAAAAGTGAAGCGAGACTAAGGGACTTACGGAACACTATCAAGCAGACTTATACAAGTATTCTAGGAATACCAGAAGGAGAAGAGGGAGAGAAAGGGGCTAAGAGCTTATTTGAAGAAATAATTGCTAACAGTTTCCCAAATCTGTGGAAAAAAATGGACCATACAAGTTCAAGCTCAAAGAAATGAAATACAGATAAATCCAAGGAGAACCACACTAAGACACATTTTAATCAAACTGTCTAAAGTGAAGACAGAGAATCTTAAAAGCATCAAGTGAAAAGCCATTTGTCATATACAAGGGAGGATTCATAAGACCTGTGGCTTTCTCAGCAGAAACCTTGCAAGCCAGAAAGGAGTGGAATGATATATTTTAAGTGCTGAAAGAAAAAAAAAAAAAAACAACCCTGTCAACCAAGCATATTTGATCTGGCAAAACTGTCCTTCAAAAATGAAGAAGAAATTAAGACTTTTCCAGATAAACAAAAGTAGAGGGAGTACATTACCACTAGCCTGCTTTACAAGAAATGCTAAAGTGAGTCCTTCAAGTTGAAATAGAAAGACAGTAAATAGCAACATTAAGCTGTATGGAAAAATAAGGTTCTCCTGTAAAGGGAGGCACATGGACAAATACAGTAACCAATACTATTGTAATTTTGGTGCATAAAATTTAAATGACAAAAACATTACAACTACAATGTATATTAATGGATATACAGTATATAAAGATGTAATTTGTGACTTCAATAACAAAGTGTGAAGGGGTGGAAGTAAAGAAGTAAAGTTTTACTATGTAATTGAAGTTTAAGTTAAAATAGAATGCTATAATTTAAAGATGTCTTATGTAATTGCAATGGTAACCACAAAGAAAATACCTGTAGAATATACACAAAAAGAAATGAGATTTTGTACCCCACGGAGACAAAAGGAAAAAATAAAATAAATGAGAATCCTATAGATATGGTTTAGCTATGTCCCCACCAAAATCCCATCTTGAATTGTAGCTCCCACAATTCCCATGTATTGTCGGAGGGACCCAGTGGGAGGTAATCGAATCATAGGGGCAGGTCTTTACCATGCTACTCTTGTGATAGTGAATAAGTATCATGAGATGTGATGATTTTATAAAGGGGAGTTTCCCTGCACAAGCTAGCTCTCTTTTGTCTGCTGCCATGTGAATTGTGCCTTTCACATTCTGCCATGATTGTGAGGCCTCCCCAGCCAGGTGGAACTGTTAGTCCATTAAACCTCTTTCTTTTGTAAATTGCCCAGTCTCAGGTATGTCTTTATCAGCAATGAAAATGGAAATGGACTAATACACCTATCATTAGAAAAAATAATGAAAGAAACACAAAGGAAGGCAGTAAGAGAATAAGGGAAAAACAAGCAAAAAGCTACAAGCATATAGAAAACAGCAAAATGGCAACAGTAAGTCTTCCCTATCAGTGATTACTTTAAATGTCAATGAATAAACTCCCCAATCAAAAGATACAGATTGGGTAAATGGATTAAAAAAAAAAAACAATTCAACTATGTACTGTCTATAAGAGACTAATTTTGGATCTAAGGATACATAGGCCGAAAGTGAAAGGATGGAAAAATATATTCCATGCAGATGGTAACCAAATGATAGCAGGAATAATGAATATGAAAAACAATTCATTCAAACTATTAATGGATAAGAATATTGGGTCAGTAATCAAAAATTTCCCAATTAAGAAAAGCCCATGGCTGGGGGCAGTGGCTCATGCCTGTAATCCCAGCACTTTGGGAGGCCGAGGCAGGTGAATCACCTGAGGTCAGGAATTCAAGATCAGCCTGACCAACATGGTGAAACTCTATCTCTACTAAAAATACAAAAATTAGCTGGGCATGGTGGTAGGCACCTGTAATCCCAGCTACTCGGGAGGCTGAAGCAGGAGAATCACTTGAACCCAGGAGGCAGAGGCTGCAGTGAGCCAAGATTGTGCCACTGCACTCTAACCTGGGTGACAGAGCGAGACTCCATCTCAAAAAAAAAAGCCCAGGACCAAATGTTTTCACTAGAGAATTCTACCAAACATTTAAGAATAATTACCACCAATCCTCCTGAGACTCCCAAAAAAACTAAAGAGAACATTTCCAAGCTCACTCTATGATGCCAGCAGTACCCTGATATCAAAGCCAAAGACATGAAGAAGGGTAAAAAAAGCTACAAACCAGTATCTCTGATGACTACTGATGCAAAAATTCTCAACAAACCAAATTCAATAGCATATTAAAAGGATTATACATTATGATACTCCTGGAATGCAAGGATGGTTCAACATATGAAAATCAATTAATACATTACATTAACAGAATGAAGGGCAAAAGCCACATGATCATCTCAATTGATGCAGAAAAAGCATCTGACAAGATTTAACACCCTTTCTTAATAATAATAAATACATTCAACAAACTAGGAATAGAAAAAAAACTAACTCAACGTAATAAAGGACATTTATGAAAAGACCACAGTTAATACTGTACTCAACGGTGAAAGACTGAAAACTGTTCCTCTAAGATCAGGTACAATGCAAGGATGTCCACTTTTGCCACTTCTATTTAACACAGTATTAGAAGTTCTAGCCACAGTAAGTAGGCATGAAAAAGAAATAAAGGGCATCCAAAATGGAAAGGAAGAAGTAAAATTATATCTGTTTGCAGATGACATAATTTTATATGTAGAAAACCCTAAAGATTCCATAAAACTGTTTAAATAATAAACACATTCAGCAAAATCATAGGATACAAAATCAACACACAAAAATCAGTTGCATTTCCATGCACTAACAATGAATGATCTGAAAAGGGAATTAAGAAAACAATTTTCAATAGCACAAAAAAGAATAAATTACTTAGTAATAAGCCTAACCAAGGGGGTGAATGGCTTGTAAAATAAAAATTATAAAACACTGCTGAAAGAAATGAAGATACAAATAAATGGAAATATATCGCATGTTCATGAGTTAGAAGACTTAATATTGTTAAGATGTCCATATTAACCAAAGCAATCTATAGAGTCAACATAATCCCTATCAAAATAACGATGGCATTTTTTGAAAAACTTCATCCAAAAATCTTTATGAAATATCAGGAGACCCTGGATAGCCAAAAGGATTTTGAAAAAAGAAGAATAAAGTTGGAGGATTCAAACTTCCTCATTTCAAAACATATTACAAAGCTACAGTAATCAAAACAGCATGACACTGGCATAAAGAATAGACATATGGAATAGAACAGACAGCACAGTAATAAACCCTTGTGTATATGTTCAAATCATCTTCAACAGAGTGCAAGACTACTCAAAGGGGAAAGGACTTGCAAAAGACACTGCATCTTCTCAAAGGGCTAAGGATTACAATATCAACTGTAAAAGGAACTCTGAAAATCAAGAGGAAAAAGGCATGAGATTCAAAAGACAAATGAACAAATGATATTAACAGACAACTCAAAGAAGGTGTAAGATGAACAGTTAATATGTAATTGAAGAGATGCCCAACATTCCTAGTGATAAAGAGAAATAAAAATTGAAACTATGAAGATATCAGTTTACAGAATGTGGGAGAAGCTAACTTAATGCACTATTGGTGTAAGTGTCAACTAGTGTGACTGCCCTGGGATGCAATCTGATATTATTCTGTGAAGTTATATATGTGCATAACTCCTGAATATATGCCCCAAGAAACTCTAGCAAAGTCTATAATATTGTGATGGAGTTTGCATAAGTTGAAGGATATACAGGACTACATGTATAAGGGAGTTAGAAGAAATATGGGTGTCCCATCATGAAGGAAATGGCCCATGACTATGAAGGAAGATTTGCAAAAGTCAGTAGTGAACTGGCTGTTGGTTAGAGCAACAGAAATAGCTCCAAAAATATAGGTTGAATGAAAATGTAAGAATCAGATAGGATTTACAGCATAGTATCATTTCTGTAAATTAGCAACAAATACTCCAAATAATTCTATTGTGTATTTTTCAAGAGTACACCCCCCTCCCCCACATCACACACACACAAAGTTGACATATGCACGTGTGGAGGTGGACTGGAAGGACAAATAATAAATAAACACATCACAGTGGTCACCTGGGCTGTGGGCAATGGCCCAAAATGTGTGATTAATCCAGCTCCCTGTACTTGAGGTTGCCTGACAAGACCCACTGAAGGAAATCAACATAAAGGGCACACAAACAATGAAAAGATGTGCACGTGCACATGCGTATGCATCAATTTTGACAGCTTCTGGATGGACAGTCAAAACCCACTCACTGTGGGTGCCACAGGAGGGCTCTGAAGAGGGAGGTTTTAAACTTTATCATTGTATGCTTTTTGCCATCTGCTTATGTTACTTTTTTTTTCCAAATAAACATTAGTTTAAAAATGAAAACAAAGAACTACTGGAACTGATACCATCTGAAGAAATGGGTTTTCTATAATCTGCTCTGGATACAGGCCTCTGAAAGATGAATATCTCCCAGGTGCCTGCTGACTACAGAAGTGTGCTTGCAGAGCCCTCCTCTAAGCCTAACCCACACCCAGGCACAGAATGGCTGGGGATGCTCTCTGTGCTTAGAACACAATGCCTGTGACAGGGTTTGCATTACTTTTAAAATGCACATATCAACTACCTAAAATGTTAACTGAATGATGAAAGTGACCACTGAAGTTGCATCTACTACTAATGAGGAGAAGCCAGTAGTTTTAAGATGTCATGGCCTGTAGCCCATTAAAAACATCAGTTTAACCCAGAAGCCCACGTTAAAAATAAGTGGTAAACTCTGAGACGCTTGGATAGGAATGTTAGAAGCGTGGAGCCTCCTGTGTCTAGGTCCTGCTGCTGCCCCTCACGGGGGTCCCAGCAGCACCTGTTTAGAACCTCAGTCCTTCAAAGAATACTGTGGAACACCTGAGTGGGAAATGGGGCCAAAATTCAAATGGTTGTGGAAAAGGGAGGTTGGCAAACAGTATGGATGAATCCTGTGTGCAGGGAGGTGGCCACAGGGAGCCCCCGCCCCTTACCGTGCAATCTTGTCACTGCAGGACATGGTGAGCAGCCGCTCCCCTTGCAGCACCCCGTCCCACGTTTGGATGCTCGCATTGGAGCGCACTGGAATCGTCCCCTCACCAGACTCTATTTTGGTCCGTAGCTGTCCTCTTGCTTTACGATTTGGGTGTCTATCTGCTGGTTCTAAGAGAGAAAAAGAGTTAAAACCCCACAGGTAGTAAACCATCTATTTGATTTATTGAAAAGCACATCTAACAATAGCTTATAAATTTAAAATACAGTCTGTGCATATAAATGCATATGTTTATGCCATACATACAAAATACACATACAAAATAAGTATGTGAAGCTGAGAGGCTGGGTATGGTGGCTCACACCTGTAATCTCAGCACTTTGGGAGGCTGAGGCAGGTGGATCGCTTGAGCCCAGGAGTTTAAGACCAGCCTGGGCAACATGGTGAAACCCCATCTCTATAAAAAATATAAAAATTAGCCAGGTATAGTGGTACATGCCTGTAGTCCCAGCTCCTTGGAAGGTTGAGGTGGAAGGATCGCTTAAGAGCCCAGGAGGTCGAGGCTGCAGTGAGCCATGATTGCACCACTGCACTCCAGCCTGGGTGTAAGAGCGAGACCCTGTCTCAAAAAAAAAAAAAAAAAATTATATGAAATTGAGTAGGAAGGACATAACACAAACAAAATTCACAAAAGTGGTCTCCAAGGGAGTTGGGGAAATGGGGTTTTCACTTTAACTGAAATGATTTATTTCTATCATTAAAAATGCACTGAAGCAAATAGGACAAAATGCTAACATTTGCTAATTCTGGGTGATGGATACTTGGGTGTTTGCCATGTTATTTTCCTCTATATTTTTAAAATTTCCAAAATAAATCTAGACAGATGCAGAAATAAACCCATGGAAAGTATGGTAAAACATCCATAGTGAGTATTTCTGGGTTACAGGAATACGGATGATTTTAATGTTCTTATATTTTAAAAATAGTTAGCAATTTTCCACAGTGAGTATGCCTGTTGCTTTTATAAACAAGGAAAGTAATGTAATAAAACGTTCTATTTGGAATAAACAATGCCTAAGGGCTTGGGAGAAGGGATGTAGATACAAAACACTAAAAAACAAAAGTGCTAACCTCAAATGTAAAGAAGGATGGAAAAAAATATGATCACAATAGTGGTTTCACTTTTCACTAGTGTTTATCTGCTTCTGAAATATCAGGCAAATAAATACTTTAATTACACATTTAGCAAATTAGAATTCCTCAGAAATATGGAGGATCACATACACCTCTGATTTAGAGATATTTATTACCCAAATTTAAATACTGATACAATTTTAATCCAATATTCTCACTCCATTCTAATTACTTGGTTAATTACAATCAGCATTTTTCATTCATTAAAGTTTTCTAATTAAGTTAATTGGAAAGAAAAAAATCCATGCTTTTATAGAGACTCTTATCAGATCCACATCCAAGTCTAAAAATAAAAAGAAAAAAAGGAAAAGGGATATTAACACAGGTTAGTTTTTATCTGTTAACATTTTCTTGAGAAACTGGCTTGTTGAAGAATCTCGTCTCATACCTTC
This sequence comes from Homo sapiens, assembly GCF_000001405.40. Taxonomy (NCBI): domain Eukaryota; kingdom Metazoa; phylum Chordata; class Mammalia; order Primates; family Hominidae; genus Homo; species Homo sapiens. Next base: position 45,183,506 of record NC_000021.9, on the reverse strand, counting down.
CAGGATTGGCTCATGTGGTGAGAAGATTCTGGCATCTCCACAGGGAGAGGTGCTGATGTACAGATGAAACTGGACATTCTCCTTCAGCCTAAACCCCCCTCGCTCTGATTTCTGAAAGATGGATCTTTTTTGATCATCTTTGTTACTGAAAGGAAAAAAGTTGCAAAAGTAACATTTAAAGCTGTATATAGTTAAATTTTAGTCTATCATTTTCAGAGGCTAGTATTTTCCACAAGGGAAAGATAAGTTTGAACTGGAATATTTATTTTACATGTTTAGGGTAATTAATACAGTTCTTGTCACTCAATAATGGATATGTCATCAGGATGTGAGTAACCTTTCCTTCTTCCAATTTATGACTTCAGAACAGAAAGACCACATACAAAAAATGGCTTTGTAAAGAAAAGGAGTTTGGATACATGACTAGCTCTTTCTAGAAACGGTGACTAGAATAAAAATTACCATCTTTACCTGGCAGTTTGGGAACTTCTATTTATACAGCATACAACAAAATCACATGGTCTTAAACACAGACTTGAAATTTATGACCATGTTATGTTATTGTATGTATGTGTGCATATGTGTGTTGAGCATTGTGGAAGAATGGGATGCAGCCTTATTGTTACTAATTAAAGTTATGATTTTGAGAGATTTTCCATGATTACAGAAACAATGAAAGGTTTTGCAATGTTTTCTAATAGAGGAATATTTTTTAAAAAGAGCTTCCTGTCCTTATTTGTTTACTAAACTTACTTTAAGTAAAGCTCAAGTTGTGTATAAAGAAATCTGAGCAAGGATCTCCGAGATATTATTTCTGCATGGCAGTCATTTAATGCAAGGCCACGATCACTCATGTATTCACCATTAATACATTTTGTTCCTGTAGAAACACTTATCACCTTGGCATCTTTAACATCTGTGCCTGAAAAAAAAAAAAAGAGACACTATTTTCTGTAATTCACAGTAATGTTTGCCTAACTGTGCTCCTGAAGTCTGACTCTTATTCTCAGTGACTTAACTTTTCAGGGGCCAACAGACTTTTCAAGCTCATCTTCATGCATATTCTTACCACCTATTTTTTAAGTGGGCAAATGTATACACGCAAACAACCTCCTATTGAGGACTCACTTTGTGACATTTCTGGAAAGCCAACCATCGTCATTGCTTAGTGTCCAGACACTAAACTCAAGGAAGTCATTTCCTCTGGTATGCAATAGCATCTTTTCTTGAATGCCCACAACTAGAACACAGCTGGGCAACACTATGGAAAGGTGGACTAACTGGTCTGGTAATTAATCTTGACATCAAATATCAAAGTACTGAAGAGATTAGGAAGGAGGGGTTAACGGCACCCAGAGGAATAAGAAGGAAAACAGAATTAACTTGTGATGTTTTCATTAGTAAACTGTCACCATTAACCACACTCGGAGTGAAATCACAAGCAGTGGTGAACTCCCACAGACAGATCACTCCGTCTCAACTTTGTGAGATAAACCACTGACCAGAGGTGTGATGCCAGGACCCTGGAAGTCACCTGCCGGGAAACTCGCATCCACTGCAGCTGAACCAATGGTGTGCACACCATGTGGCAGGTAAGCACCAGGTCTGTTAGGTAAATTGTCCTCACTGCATTCCCACGATGTCCTCTGAGGCTCATGCTACTAATGTCTCCACTGTATAGATGAGGGAACTGAGGCACAGAGGCCTTGTAACCTGCCCAAGTCCACTCAACCAGCGGGAGCCCCCTGAACCAGCTGTCTGGAGTGCCAAGTGCTCCAGCGTCCTGGCTTCAGATGTAAACTATGGCTCTGAGCAAGTGGTCTCAGGTGAAATACACACTAAGATGTAAGGTGTTCCCAGAAGGTGATCGGCCTCTTCTAAGGTCGTTAAAAACAACAACAACAAAAACAAAACAACAACAACAACAAAACGATGAAAGAACATGACCAGCTCACTCACCCATGCTGCTGGAAGAGGCAGGGAGTCTTACCTAGGGAACTATTCTATTCAGTCGTTGTGGTGTTCACCTTTGATTAATGTAAAAGATAGCAGTAAGGAGAGAGGTAAAAGGGGGAGAAGATACAGGTACAAAACATTAGAATAGAAGCTGCTGTTCGGGTGCTTCCTCCTCCCTGGACACGGCACGGCAAGGAAACAATGGTCATGAGCAGAGCAGCCAGGTTTCCTAGGGCAGCAAGAGGTGGGTCAGTGAAGAGGGCTGCAGAGTCTGATAGAGGTGACCCCTCAGGGGGAAAGAACAAGAAAGTCACATACCGAGAACTGGGGGTTTCTCCTGGGCTGGTGGATGTAGACAGAGAAACTGTCCCCAGCTTCCTCCCTGACCTCTAGGGTCTGCTTCCTGCATCTGGCTGTCCAGGCTGGGCTGAGCAGATGCTGGGTACAGAGACGGCCCCACATGACAGGGGTCCTCTCCCTGAGTCTTGCTCCACCCTGGGGTGCCAGACACTGGCCAAGGATGTGGCTTCCCTTCCCAGGAGCTACCCACAGAGATGCTGCTGCGTGTTCTCACTCGCGGGATGTGGGGAGAGGACTCGGGGGTTCCTTTTGCTACTGGGAACTTCTAGACTAATTTAATAGGGTTTCTTCTATCGTTCTAAATTGTGCTTTTTTTCCCCACGGATTTTCTACTCTTGCTAGAGCTCTCTCCCTCCTCAAAGGAAGTCACACTGAAACTTATCTGGCATCGTTAACATTAACTGATACAATAGATAGGCTCTACTTTCAAATAAAGGAAGAATTAGTAAGCCCCTTGCCATCTTCCAGAGCAGATTGAGGCCATTCACAGGATGAAGATGACAGGAATCAAATATTAATATAGTGTGCTTTCTCCAGATAAAACAAACTTAGGTTAAAAAGATGAACATTTTGGGAAAAAAGCTTGTAAGTGCAGTTCGTAAACTTGCATATGGCAGACATTTTGAAGAAGAAAAGAAGTAACCATCTCCCGTCGGTGTGGCACAGTGGTTTTTGTCGATTGAGAACATTTCACATTTGTCAGACATGAAAACAGGCAGGGTTACATACAACACCAAGATGGTTACCTGTTGTCATGACGACTCCAGCCAGCACTTTTCTGCGAGCGTGAGGGGAGGAGAAGTTGTCGGTCAGGTCACCAAACTTACCCAGGACCAGGCGTGAGACAGCGTCAGCTAAAACCTGTGTGGGAAGCACAGATGCAGGTTAGGGGCCAGATGCAGCTGGGAGCAGGGCTCACTCTCTCAATGCTGCACGCACTCTCCCTTATGGAGTGACACAGGCTGCTTCTCATCTGGAAGACCACACAGGTAAATCTGGCAAACAAGTATGTGTGTATGTTTCTTCCAGAACATTCCTTGGAAATAGACACCCCAGGATCCTGCCAGGCTCTGGCTGAGTCCTTCGCCACCCGCGTGGGGCCAGTGTGGAGTGTGGGCACCACACATGAGCATCCCTCCAATCCTCACCGCAGGCCAGCCCGGCCCTCAGGAGGAAACCGAGGCAAACAGGCAAAGCTGCCTGCTCAGGGCCACCTGCCCACGCCTACGCCCACCTAGTATGGCCCTCCCACCCCCCTTGCCCTCTCTCACATGCACACACGGTGTGGCTCAGTCAGCTCCAGGGCCACACACAGCTGGGAGCACAGCCCAGGATGATGTGCAAAATCAAAGGCAAGAGAAAGGGGCAGCTTGGAGATGCGATCCAGTGAAGGAAGCCACAAGCTGTGCACAGCACCTCCCTCAAAGGCGCCACCGAGAGGCTTCTCAGTCATTCCAGCCTCTCCACACAAATGCACTCTGACTCCGCTCACTCGCCCAGACGGTACGATAGAATCATGTACCAGAGAACAGCACGGGGAGGGAAAGCGCTTAGACGTTCGGAACACCTGCACAGGTATATGCTCAGGTCAGACAGACATCTGTATTAAAGTGCTTCTGAGAACAGATGTATTTGTTGGATTTTGGACATGGTCTTATGGCTTATGATTTATCTTGGATATAATGAGCCCATGGCATTTTGGGAAATGATGTCTGCTGGGAGGTGGGTGTTAAGAGCCAGTTTCAACTCATGTCCCACCAATTTCACACTTGTCTGGAAAATCAAATGACTACTAGGAAAACCCAGCATCCCCAGGTTGGTCCTTAATAAAATATTTCTGAAATGAGTAGAAAAGATAGTTGTCAGGATGTTTTTCTCTTATCATTGCACCAGCAAGTATCAGTGAGCCCCAGAGGACAGTGTTCAAGACAAGTCATGTGGAGAATGGACAGAGGCTTTGGTGGCAGGGATCCATGCACCCGCAGGCAGCGGCATCTGCAATGCAGGGGTGAGCGGACGCGAGGAACTGAGGCTGTGACAGAAACACAGGACGTGGCCAGGGTGCCAGAGGGAAGGGGCGACGCATTCCAATTGGCCAGGGTGCCAGAGGGAAAGGGCGATTCATTCGAGTTTACAGAGAAGAAAAAGTCATAAGAAGATTAGGGATAAGCCAGAGGAAATAAAAGTTTCCATTTCATATAAGATTAGGCGAATCTCCAAACTTTCAAAGAGAGGCGAAGAACTTTAACTTCAGAGTGAGTTCCGAGAGCCTCACTCTGAAGGTCTGGTGCTGGGGCTGATGCTTGTTAACGCAGACATCTGAGGCACATGGCCAGGGCTCAGCACCCCGTTGAGGGGATTACTGGTCTCATTAACCTGTATGGTTAATGAAGGACTTCCCTCTTAATTTGGGGGACAGATATAAGAACAAAAAAAATGCTCTTAAGAGTTAAACCCATGCCACACAGTCCCAGGCAGCACCATTTACCTGCAGTGACACGCAGGGATGACTGACCTACGTCCTTCAAGGGTTACTCTAGAAAAAGAGTGAGGGTTTTCCACCCATCCTAGAATGCACATTTGGAAATTTCCTGTTGAAGGACAATAGAGCCCACCAACAAAGCCCTAAGGACTGCTTCTGGGAGGGCCACCCGGGTCCTACAAGGAACACGTCACATTCCGGGGCTATCCTGGGGGCTCCAAAGACACAAGGTGGCAGGTTCCACTCCGGCAGAGACTCGAAGTGCAGCTCCATCCCCTCATGCCCTAGTGGTTCTGGACATGAGGCCTAGAGCCTGGTGTTCAGCACCTACAGAGCCCAGAGGAACGTGGCGTCAGGGGGCTGAGGCAGCCCTGCCCACCTGCACCCCTCCCCAGGCTGGAGCCCAACAGATGTCCCTCCAGCCTTCCCAAGCCAGGGGCTCTGGTCATGCTCCACACAGAAGTCACTGCAGGCGCACAGCCAAGCCAGGGAGGCAGGGGTGACATCTCTACTGGCACTTCGATCTGCGTCCGCCTAAGGTGCTCCTAGCCTACACACTGAAGGTTCAGACATCTGGGATCCACGGCATTTGATGTCATTTCAATGGTCTTATATGCCACTCTGTCAATATTAAGGGAAGACAAGTCACATCAGACAATATTTTGAACTCAGGCTTTAATATTTTAGCAAAGAGTAATCCTGAAAATAAAAAATCACATGGGATCTAGTAGCACTGATTTGTTAAAGTACAAATGGACTAATAATCCTTATAAACAATGTTGACGAGAGGTTAATAAGGGAAGCAAGTATTTGGTTCGTTAAAAAAATCAGTGAAATACCTTGAATATATTATTTTATACTGATGTTGCATTTGATTCCTTTAGGCAAAATAAAATACATTTCCTTCCTTTAAAACAGAACTCCTGGTCATCTCAGACTACAACTGCACAGAGGTTGTTCTAATTGTAGCCAACAGCAAAAAAGAAACTATAAGACACTTGGATTCTTCCAGGGGAACACAAGCCACCTTCAAGTCTTGTGGTCAAGGGTAGTATACATGTTATCTTCAAAGTGAAGAAGACTCTGATACAAAGTAATAAATGAATAGAGGGTCAAAAAAATAACTTTTGCAATAGACCAGAAGAACTTTGGATTTCCAAGAAAAGAAGGAATACATAATCAGAGAGTTTTAGGATTTAGAGATGAGAACTAAAGGTGATTTTCTCCTTTACTTTTTCTCTTTCACGTAAGCCAATCTAAGCCCACCCTGGAACTTCCCCTTCCTTCATCCTGATTTCACTGCGCTGGGGAGGTCAAATGGAAGGGTGGCTGTCCACCTCCAGCCTGGGCATGCGGGGAAGTCCTCATACAGCCCATGTAGGAAATTCAAAGTAGAGACTCCCAGGCAACTGGCAGGCCCTAGAACAGTTGTTGGAGGCCCCTCCCTCCCTGCGCTCTGATAGGTGCTCACTGCTGTGCTGGCTCATTCGCTGCTTTGATGGGCTCCTCGGCTTAGGAACAGCAAACAGCCACCAGCCAGTCATGTGGGAGCCCAGAGGCTGCCATCTTGACCCAGACTTGGGTTTTCAGCTGCTGACGGGCTGGTGTCACTTATCTTGAATGTGAGATTCTTGGATGAGACCTTTGAAGGAAAATGGTGCTGAACTGGGGGCAAGGTTTCAAAGACTGGGCTCTTCTTCCGTCTCTCCTGCTAAAGGCTTGCTGTGGGATGAGGGTCATGGGGGGGGTTGCCTAACGGGAAGGGAGTTATGGATAGTGTTGTAAACACTGCTCTGGTGGACGGGGTCTCAGGTGTCCCTGCCTTGCATTGCGACAGACCCAGCATGCACTAGGATGCAGACGGCTTCTCAGTGGCCACATGGCCATGGAAATCAAGCAGCCAGACTTACCAGTAACTCCTCCTGGTGGGGACAGAGTGATGTCAAGGTGGAAAGTCAACAGTAATCCTGAAACTAAAATGCTGTCTAGAAGCATTACCAAGAGCAATGACCCCGTGTTTTAAAGCAGCAGCATAGTTCCTCACCTGCGGTAAATGCAGCTGAAGACCCTCACTGGGAATAGGCTGGCGAGATGGCGTCTGATCCAAGTGCAAGTTAAAAATGGCGGCCAGGGCAGACTGCGCAGCCCGGGCCTTGGCAAGCTTCTTGTTTCTCCCCGAGCCTTCAAAGAACTGACCATCCACGACCACAGACATGACGAAGCTCTTGGCATGGCTCTCCCCGCTCTCGGAGAGGAAGTCATACTTGAGTCCTGGGCGCAGTTCGTTCAAGATCATCACGGGATTCTTCCCACTCGGGGGTGGGAATGGTGGTAAGACAGGGAGAGGAGGCTGGGCTAGGCTGGCAGGCACCGGGGAAGCAGACAAGCTGAGGTCCCCGCTGGAACTGAAGGAGTCATCCCCATTGGAGCCCACGTAAAAGGGAGGCTCCGCCTTGTCAGGAGTTTCAAAACCATTGAAGAGCGTGTCAGGGAAGTCGGCCTGGTCAGATGTGAAGTCCGTGTTGACAGACAGGGTCCTCCCCATGGCCAGGTGGGCCTCAGAGGCATTAGGAAACTGAACGAAAGACCTCAAGGCCTTCTCAGCAGCATGGAGTTTTGCCTTTTTCTTTGTGGGACCAGAGCCCTCAAAAACCTGGCCATTCACCTCCACAGACATGACAAACAAAGGCGCGTGCACGGGCCCAGTCTGGGACAGGAGTGTGTACTGCAAACCAGGCTTGATCTCATTCAGCTGCATCAGGGCGTTCTTGGGGAGGACGGGCCCTGGTGTTTTCCTCCTTTTCTTCAGGCGGTACTTGGAGTGGCCATTGCTGCCCTCCTCCAGGGGCCGCTTTCTGCCGGGGCCACCACCACCCCCATTGGAGAGCTGAGAGCCCTCGCCAGGCCCAGGTGTGCTGCCATCCTTGGGGGACACGTTGTCCAGATTGCGGTTTTCCTTCACATCAGTGCTGCTGGAACCTGTGGTGCCCAGAAAGAGTAACTTACAATGCCTTCGTTGCAGGATCTTGTAAATGCAAAATTTATAGATTCCTTTAGCTCTCTTTGTAACTGGTTAAGTGATGTGTGCTTATAAATTTTATTCCTTGATGTATACATGAAGAGTTATACATTTAGTTAAAGAACTATCAGCCTCAACTAAACAAGTAATCTGACACTTTGCTTAGTGACTAATACCATTTCTATTTAGTGTCACCAACTGCTTTTGCTTTAAAAAGTAAAATCTTTAAATAATTTTTTTTCTTCTGAGAATATTCTGAAGTACCTAGACTTTTTCAACCTTATCAAAATGTGGGATGATAAATTAATCCAGAAAGACCTTACATTAATAAGTCTAATGAAATGACAATTTAATATCAATATATGGATAAATATATATTTATTTTAGCATCTTCCTTTCACTGTTGTTTACCCTCATGCTATCTAAGGGTTTTAAATTGCAGCGTCTCTCAGAAGAGAAAACTATTTAAAAACATGCATTCACAAGATAATTAGTTTTTCAGGTTTAAAATATTCAATCAATAAATGCAATTATTTGATTTAGTTTATGAACCAATCTTTAAAAGCTGCTTATGTAATTGTGTAAAGTATTATGGCTTTTTAGTTGTTGTGTTTAGGAGGGTATGGTTTTATTTCTAGTATCTATTTAAAAATGAGAATATTATATATGGGGGCTGACTAAGTCTGAATCCTTAATATCGTTCCATGATAGGAAAAGTGTGTAAGAACAAGACACAAAACTGAAGCTGTAGGCAGGTTACAACTTCCTAACTTCATAAATACACTTTCTGGTGATTTTGTCTTTTTTAAAACAATTATTTGATGAATTTCCAGAATAATTTGTTTATCCTAACTTTTAAAGGTATTTCAGATTTTGAATTAATACAGACAATTTTAGAATTGTAAAATTACATGGCAAAATAAACATAATTTTTAAATTTTATTTATTTATGGATTTATACATGTATGTATGTATGTATGTATGTATGTATGTATGTATGTATGTATTTTTGAGACTGGGGTGCAGTGGCGCGATCTCGGCTCACTGCAACCTCCACCTCCCGGGTTCAAGTGATTCTCCTGCCTCAGCCTCCCGAGTAGCTGGGACTACAGGCGTGGGCTACCATGCCCGGCTAATTTTTGTATTTTTAGTAGAGACGGGGTTTCATCACATTGGTCAGGCTGGTCTGGAACTCCTGACCTCAGGTGATCCGCCTGCCTTGGCCTCCCAAAGTGCTGGGATTACAGGTGTGAGCCACCGTGCCCAGCCCTAATTTTTTATTTTAAAAAGAGGAGTATAAAGTGTTCATCAAGCTTTTTAAAAAGGAGAAGAAGAAATAATTCCTTTCCATCATGGCTAGGCAGCTGTCACATGGAGCCCAAGGGTGAGGGCTACAGTGCCCTGCAAGGTTGTAATGTGAATGAAAGTTAAAGACATCTACCACTAGATTTCAAAAATCTGTATTTTTTAAAGTAACCAAAATATTACTAAAATTGTAAACCAATTTACGAGTGCCCCATATGGTGGCTTTAGGGTCTATTTCTACTACATGTGTAAAATGGTAGATTCTCATTACGTTAAGCAAACTGAAAAGTTGTGAAAATATTCATCAGCTTCATCCATGGGAATGTTTAAAGGGACCAAGTCCTCGCCCTTGGCTGCCAATCTTTGAGGTTAAAGATCTCTAATTCCAGGGCTGTCATCATTCGGCCAAGACAGCAGAGCATAAACCTGGTTTAGACACAATCCATGGGAAAACTGATGCCACACTGTGGTAGAGGCTAAGAGATTTAAAACTTTCTCTACAGACATTATTTCTCCAAAATAATCCTCACACACACACCACTTCTCCCAGTTGACAAAGCTGATGGAATGGACACTAAATTTTCATTTATAACATCCTCCAGCAAAAGCTCGATAGGTTACTCCTTTCGGTGCTCAAAGGGAACAAAAGGTTAAAAAAAATAGAGCCAAGATGGAATTCAGAGATTAATAAACTGAGCAAGAACATGACATACTAGATTACTGCTTACATTTTGACTTTGTTGCTAAACAATTATCAATATCAAAAATCAAATCATTATAAATGTATTTGGACATGCATTTAACCAAATATTTATAACCTCTGAAATAACCAAATGCTTTCCTTTCAGAAATAAAAATAATTACTATTGGATTGACAAATAATCTTGAGAAGAATACACTTTCTGTGATACAGATTCCATACATTCTAAATTCTTATTCACCTCAGGGGCACACTGAAATACTACTCTCACTGTCACTGAAAATGCTACTATCATAAAGGAAAATACTAAAACTAGAGAAAGATGCCACTTTCACAGCTTTTCTTCAACAGATGCCTTCTCTTTCTGTATCATGCTACTACACTTCATAAATGTAAATACTGATCATGACAGGGCTTTGCATTGCTTTCAAAATGATACAAATACAGGACCAGAATGTCCACGTTTTAGCACTACAACATCGGCTTCTCTTCACAGAAAAATGTGGGAGGATTCTTTATCATGTCAAGTGATCACAGGATCAGTTTGGGGATAGTTCCAGAACCTACACGATCACAAAGCCTCTGTCTATGCGAGGTGACTGCAGCTGTAGGCTGTAGGCCACAGTCCTGACACAGAGGCCCTGAGGACCCCTGCACATGCTCCGTTGGTGGGCTACTGCACGGGCCAAGCACAGGTCACATTTTCTCAAATGAGGAGTATGGACGTAACCTCTCTCTTAAAACTTGTCACAAACTTGGAAACAGTGAGTAGAACTGCCCAGTAAAAACATGAAGCTGGGTTTTTAAAAGATCTCAAGAGCAGGATTGATGAGGATAAAAACCTGAAAAAAACAATCACCAGCAGGCAGGCACGGGCTGCGCACACAACAGCGGAAGTGAGGTGAGCACGCTGGTCCCGTGGTTCCTGGGTAGCACTGCAGGAGGTGGTCTCACCCTCACACCCCAGATGGCTGACTTCAACCAAAGCCAACACTTAGCACACAGTCCATAGAGCAGAGGCCCAGCCGCCTCCACAGCACACCCATGGGGCAGCAATACCACGCAGAAATCAATACCATGCAGAAATCAATACCATGCAGAAATGCTTCACTGGGTCATGGTTTGGGTTCTACATGGTACGCAAGAGTGACTCCAAGACCCCAGATCATCGGTTGTGCGTAAAGTCAAAGGGAAAGTGCTAAGTTCTAATGCTCAATAATCACTCCCAGTGACATGTCACTCATCATTGACAGCTGCATGTTATTCCTTCAGACAAGTAAGAAGGTAAATACAGATATTTATATTAGTTAGAGCAATGATGCCTTTGTTGTAATTTCTCTACTAAACTCTCCCAACTTCCGTGGAAGCATCTAAACCTGTTTTCTGGGACTGAAGATGAACTAGAAGAGATAAGTACCTTCACCGAAACACCAACGTACCCCAGCGGCCTTCCACCACCCCGGCACCAGAGAGAACAGCACGGAAGGAGGAGGCCCACACCAGTCCCAGCTCTCATTAGCACCTTTGCGAACTTTAGATCAACAGACACGTGTGAATCCCCTTCCTTCAAAATGCAGCGAGAACCTGCATTTTGAAGGGAAATATTTCTGTCCTATTATTGCAAAGGCCTGGGTATTTAAATCAATCTCAGACGTTATCTTCGATTTGTATGTGTGAATACTCGGAGCATTATTCTGAGAGGCATGCCGTGACAGGACTCCACATGAAACAGTGGGGCTTCATGAGATATACCCAGAAGCCCATTCCACGGGGCACAGTGATGCCCCACGACGATAACGAGGAAGGAAAAACGTCTGCAGCAAATTCTGACACCTGTTGCAGAGAACACACCAAAAATTAAAAACATGCCACTGTCAGTAGAAGATGTTACGGGAAAAAACACAATCCCCACACTGGTCTCATGAAATACATTTGCAAAAACACCAAAATGTTAACATAAAATTAGCTATCTGATACTACGTGATAGGCCTAGATCTTACTCATGTTTTCTTCATCTTCTATATCCATGGCAAAATACTTTTGAGGGTTTCTTGACTGGCGGAGACTGTTTCTGTCTGAAAGACAGTAAGAAAATAGCATTTAGTGTGCCTATGACAGGAGTAATATGAAGTAAGTCTACTCTAAGGAAATAATTACAACATTATTACAAATTAAAGGAAAAAAATCATAAAATAAGAACTAGGTCTTGTTAGAGAAGTCAGATCTGCCATCTGGTACAAAATACTCCTCCTTGGCACATTCCAGTCCAGCAAAAGACTTCTCGCGTGGATTCCAGCACAGCAAAGGACGTCTCGCGTGGATTCTCCCACATGGAGGGATGATGAGGGTGGGACCAGGTCCCAGCAAGGGAGGTTCAGGGCCAGTGCCCAGGGACCTCACACCACTCTGAGGAGGGTGGGTTTGATTCCAGGCAATGGAGGGCCATGAAGAGCGCTGAACTAGGGACAAAGGCACTGGCATTTGCACTCTGGAAAGACGCCTGCTGCAGGATGGACTAAGGACACAACACGCCATGACAGATGGCGACAGACCTCAGAAGGGCGCTCACATACTTGCCATCTATCTTTACTCTGGGTAGACTTTTGGCTTCCAGCTGTAAACTAAAGCCACACAGCAGAACCAGAACCTACAGCTTCTCACTTAGCTACTTCTCTCTCACCTTGAATAGCTCCTTATGCAGACAAAACTAAAGTGCACAAGACTGCTAAAATTCAATCTAATTTCTTAGTTACATATAAGTATTATTTTGTTGGCAGGAGAAACCACAGGAAATCCTCAAAGAACAGGTATTACAATTTCTAGTTACTAACAAATTTAAGAGTTTCCTCTTCTTAAATATTTTAGTTATACTTTGTCAGACTGTATTAATACATGTTCTATAATAAATAATATCATCAAATTGCAATTGAGGAAAAAGAAGATTTGCAAATTTTATAATCACACGTTACTTTGTGTACAAATAAAACTTATAAATCACTAAAAGGCAAATTCATTGCTCTTAGAAAATGGTGACTAAAATGTACTAAAACATGCATATATCTTATATATCTATATCAAATATCATATATCTAAAAATATATATTTTATATATATAGTTTTTCATGAAATCATGTTAATAACTTTCAATCTCACTATATTTCAGGCAAATGTGTTGCTAAAAGTTAAATGAGTTTCTCTTTAGAATCCTTTATTCAACAAAGTTTTCCAGATAGTTTTAAAAGCATTATTATTTTATAGTCATTAACTATTTCAAGATATATTTTCTGAGAATCTATTACGTGCAAAGCACTTGTGCTAGATACAAGAACCTAAATCAGATTCTGAGAAACTTAAATGTAAATACTGCCTGAACAGCTGATTATATTAAGGAATTATGATAAATTATTTTAGGTGTAGAAATGGCAGTTCTCTTTTAGTGACATATACTGAAGTATTTACAAATGAAAGGACAATATCTAGGATTTACTTCAAAATAATTCAGTGTGGTGAGAAAAACATAGATGAGTGTAGACAAAACCAACAAATGGGCCCTGGTTGGTAATTACTGATGTGGCTGACGGGCATGCAGAGTTCTTGATACAATTGTATATTTGTATATGTTTTAATATTTCCATTATGGAAGGACCGATAAAAAGTAATTGGGTTAAGGTCTAGAATGGGAGGTGAGATGTAGGCACAGAGGGCAAGACCCCTGCAGTCAGGGCAGATGCCCTCAGTAGGCTGTGGGTGCTCCCAGGAGCCTCCTGGCTGGAGGGATCAGGCCAAAAAATGAGGACATGCTCGTCAAACTGAGCTTCAGACAAGGGGTCTGGCTGAGCATATCACGAAGACGGGAAAACAGGTGGCTTGTGTGAGGGCACTGAGGTTATGCAGGCAAAGTGATGGCAAGGCGCTTCTCAGAAGCCCAAACTATAAACTGGAGGAACAACGAATAAGCCTGTCCAAATAGCTCTGTTCTTATTGGCTGAAACTGGTTTTAAATAGGCAAAGGAACTTCCTCAGTGGGAAGACAGAGTTCTTCTCCTTTTTCCTCCCATTAAATACAACTAAAAATCCTGGATATTATACATAAAACACACATAAAAAGACTGAGAGATGTAGAGAAAGCTGACAAGCCAGGGGGCCTCAGGACCTGAGAAGCGACCCTGCATTTTCCTTTTGCTTCATTTTCTCAACATAGAGCTGAGGAAGCCAGAAACATCAGCAGGCATTGGCAGAAACAAAACACACAAAAAGCTGCAACAAAAGCTGCTCTCTCTGGCCAAAGGACCAGGAAAGAGGTAGCCCAGCAAGACAGAAAACTTCTTAGACAAGAATTGCTTTATTCCAGCCAAACACCAAACAAAAAACCTCAACCACGCCCCACCCGTGCCAGGCTGTAAGGACAACCCCAGAGTCCCCTTGTTGGGTGGTGTCAGACAAGGCTGAGTGACAAGCCACAATCTTCATTTCCACCAGGCTCTAACAACCCCTTCCCTTCCCACGCCACAGTGCAGAGTCATGAGAGACTATGTGGGGAAGCTGGGCTCTCTTTCCACCTGGTAGAAACGACGCTAGCCGGTGCTGCCAGTGAAGGCTCCAGATGGAGCAGTGATGAGGCCCTCTCACAACAGGGAGCTATCCGGGAGCCCCAGTGGGGAACTTGGACTTATCCCCCATCCAGCAGTAATGAGACAGCATCCCCGCTTCCTCTGACACCGTGGTGTATGAGAAAGTCAGCTAAAACAGAAGGCTTCAGTAAGATTTAGAGTCTCATAATATCATATAATCAGGTTCCAATAAAAAATCACTTGTCACATCGAGAAACAGAAGATATCAAACTAAATGAAAAAAGACAATGAACAGATGCCAACACGGAGATGACACAGGTGTTAGAATTCTCTTAGAAAGACTTTAATGTAACCACCATAAAAAAAAAATAAAGTGGGAGCAATCAGTCTAGCTGATCTCAGCATTTATTACAAAGCTACAGTCATCGGTACGGTACAGTGTTGGCAAGGGGCAGACGAGCAGATCACAAGAGGATAGCACAGAGAACCCCGAATACACCACACAAATATGTCCAACTGATTTTGGACAAAGGTGCAAAAGCAATTTCGTGAAGAGGCACAGCCTTATTGGGGCAACTAGAGTTCCAAAAAAATGAACCTCAATTCAGGTCTCCTACCTTATTCAAAACTTAACTCAAAATAGATTATGGGCTTACATGCAAAACATAAAACTATAAAACTTTTAGAAAGTTACAGGAGAAAATCCTCAGGATCTAGGGCTAGGCAAAGAGTTTTTAGACTTCACACCAAAAGCACAATCCACAAAAGAAACAACTGATAAACTGGAAGTTAAAAACTTTTTCTCTGCAAACGTCCCTGTTAAAAAGATGAAAAAACAAGCTACAGACTGGGAGAAAATATTTGAAAAATATATATCCAACAAATAGAATATATAAGAAATTCTCAAAGCTCAACAGTAAAATATACAAATAGTCCAATTAGAAAATGGGCAAAGGACACGAAGAGGATCTACAGATGGAAAATAAACTCATGAAAAGATGCTCAGGATCACGAGTCACTAGGGAAATGCAGCTGAGAACTACCGTGAGATAACTCCGCTGCACACCTCCGAGAAGGGCTATTCAACATAGTGTTGCTTTAAAGATAGTGACAGCCCCAGGTGAAATGAGGCTGTGGAGAAAAGGGATCTCTCATAGACTGCTGGCAGAAATGTAAAATGGGATAGCTACTCTAGAAAGTAGTTTGGCAGTTTCTTAAAAATAAAATATGCAACTACCACATGACTCAGCAATTGTACTCCTGGGCATTTATCCCAGAGAAATGAAGGCTTACGTTCATATAAGTATTACTTCTTACAACTACATGTGAATCTATATTATCTCAAAATAAAAAGTATTTTTTATTTTTTATTTTTGAGAATCTCGCTCACCCAGGCTGGAGTGCAGTGGCGCTATCTCGGCTCACTGCAACCTCTACCTCCCAGGTTCAAGCTGCCTGCCTCAGCCTCCCGAGTAGCTGGGATTACAGGGATGTGCCACCATGCCTGGCTAATTTTTGTATTTTTAGTAGAGATGGGGTTTCACCATGTTGGCCAGGCTGGTCTTGAACTCCTGACCTCAGGTGATCTGCCTGCCTTGACCTCCAAAGTGCTGGGATTACAGGCATGAGTCACCGCACCCAGCCTTCAAAATAAAAAGTTTATTAATAATAGGCAGAAGACACACAAATGGCTAATTTAATTCTTATACATAATTAATCAATAATTGGTTTGCCTGAGAAGGCTGACTTCTCTCAGATTTCTGGGACCAGGAAAAACAAACTTTACAACAACAATAAAAGTGCAGAGGCACAGGAGTGAGCCCAGCTCATGTAGTTCACCTAATTCATACAGTTCACTTTGTTTTCCTGCCCTTACATATTAAAATTCTTTTAAAAGGACATGGAAAATGTCTCGCAGTAGAAAATAGTCATGCCGAGTGTGGTGGCAGGTGAGTACCTGCAGGTACCGCCCACATTAAGAATGGGAGCTACAAATCTCTTGCAGAGCAGAAGCCAACGTTTTCAGTTTTGACGAATGCCAACTCTTGTACCAAAGGTTATAAAACAAAGCAAAACAGCACATGCAAGCACTTTAGCACATTTCACAGAGCTATTTTTTCTTCCCTTTTTAAAAGAACCTCTTATGACCTGAACTACAAACAAATAAGAATTAAAACCCTATCAAATATCCCCTATGGAACAAAATTCCAAGAATGGTCAATTAAAAAAAAAAAGACTTATTTGATAGCAATATTCAAAACAACCTCTTCATTTCTCAGAATGCCTCCTAATGCAGTAAGAAGACAGAGCTGGGAGGTGGTGAGTGTGGAAGAACATTGAACTTGACTGCAGAAGACCTGAGACTTCAGTTTCACTTGGTTCCAGGTACAAATCCAACTTGTTTTAATGGAACTAGACAAGCTGATTCTAACATTTACGTGAAAAGGATAAACAGACTCAAATACTCAGGAAAACTCTGAACCAAAGGAGCAGGTGGCTTAGTCCTTCCTATTAGAAATAAAGAGCCTCAGTGCCTAACGCAACACAGCGTGGCTCACGGACAAAGAGGGTCAATGTGATGGAAGAAAAACCCAGAATCAGACACAACACATCCAGACACAGAATATTTGGTAAAGGTGGCATTTTAAATCAGGGACATATGAACATGCTTTTTATTTTTAATAAACAGGACCAGACACTGGGTGCCGACATGGAAGAAGATCAAGCTGGATCAAACAAGGCCGTTCCCTCACCGTGTCCTGATCATTTCTTCATGAGCTCGCTTTTGATTTCAGCTAACATGGTCAAATTGACAATGTTATACGTTTTGTACTGGGGGTAGGTAAATGATTGTTATATTATTCTTTATACCTTTTTATAGATACATTGCAACCACAAGTATAAACAATATATATAAATATAATGTTCTTATCAACTTTGGACAATGAGCATACCTACCCTTTTTCTCCCCTTCCCTTAATGAAAAAACATATCCTGGAATAAAATATTAAAAACATGACTTATTTACATTAAAGATGCATCAGAACTTGAATAGTTTCTATTGTGCTGGTAAAAAATGTCATCTTTAGGAGTCCACTAAAAGTTTATAGATTAAAAACTGTTTAAGACAACTGGTGAACTTGATTAAAATTACTAACATATATTACTGGATTAAATCCATTTTCCCCTCAAAAATGGATAGCTTTGAGAAAACTTTTACATATTCTTTATGACTGCTATGGGTTCCATATTTAATAGCTTTGAACTGCAAACTAAAAAAAAAAAAAGAAACGGTATTAAAGTGGAGATTATTCGTGTTCATTCTTTACTATACATCAAGCAGCATTCCAAAGCTAGATTAACTTTGTAGCAAAAAAATTGAAAGATGATTTGCTTATTTAACAAAAGCAACTGAAGTATAAACCTCTTACATCATTTGAACGAAAACAATCTGAAACTCAACAAGCGAATCATGCATGTTTAGAGATACACTTCACCTCATAATTTATATTTTGCTTTCAGTATTATCTAAACCAAACAATATCACTGAAGTGTTCCAAAATATTCAATTGATAATATTTTCAGTGAAATATTTTACCTTCTAGGAAACCGTCCCTGCAAGCTGCTAAGTGAATCTTTATAGATCTTGTACACAGAGCAAGCAAGATTTGTGCCTAATTTTCAGCAAACACATTTTTTCTAGTGCAATGCAAAAGGAGATAATTAAAATAAGAATAATAATGTACAATATTCATCATATTAAGTGGGAAATATTGATGAGAATAGGAATCTACTGAAACAGAAGAGGAAATTCTAGCAAGGACAAATGACAGAAAGAAACATGCAGAGGTGTCAGTTAGGGCACCTTGCACAGGGCACTAACACCTCAGTGGTCCAGTCAGCAACTTCATCAAACTGTGGCTCTAGTTCCTTCCTCACTAAAAGGGATGCATCACGGGAGAACCACATGCCAGTCGCACAGACAGTAGTAGACTGGCCCAGCAAGGCAACTCTAGGGTGGCTGGGCGGGGGTGGGCCTGGTGAGGCCTGGGCGCTCCAGGGGGCCTCAAGTAAGGTGTTTTCAGCTTTGACAAAGGCCAACTCCTTGTTCACCTGGCCATCCCGGGCAGCAGGTGTACCAATGCACATGTGTAAATCCTGTCACCTCGCTGCAGCCATCAGGCCAGACACCTGGAGACTACCTGGTTCTCTCTCCCCTCTCACCCCACACCCCATGTCACCAGCTCTTCTCCCAAAGTTGGGCTAAACACATCAGCCTGTCTGCTTCTGCGCTGCTGTTACCACTCAGCTTGTGCAGGAGCCTCTCTGCCTTCTCTTGACCCTGAGAGCCCCTCTCCTCGCAGCAGCCAGGGTTATGTCCTTATAAATAAAAAACGTGCTCTAACACATGCCCATGTGCTCATCGTCAGCCCTTCGCTATGCCCACCAGAGCCTCTCCAACTTCCTGGGGTGCTTCCCTGTTCCCTCCCTGCCATGTCCTCGCGCAAGGCTTCATCAGACCCCACCTTACTGCTCAAGTCCCAGCTCACACGGCACCAACCCACCCCACCGCCCCGCTCCCTCTCCCTCCACGCACAGTGCAATCCACAATTTGTCTCCCTGTTTGTGGCCTGCCTCTCCCAGTGGGCTGCGAGGCCCACATGGCTGGGGCAGGCTCGGTCTCCTCCACCCCTCCACCCCGGGCGCCATGCCTGCCCCCACAGGCATGCTGTACACTGAGTTCCTCCACCCCCGCCTTTTCCTTGGCAGCCCCAGTACTTGTGCCAACGCAGGGGCAAACTTGGGGCTTTCGTGGCCTACTTCAGGCCCTGTGGACACATTCAACAGCTGTCCTCCCCTGTCCAGAGTCTTCACTTGGCTGCTACAGTTGTTTCCTAAAAATAAACCAATCCTCTGAGTGCCGTAACATCCCTGAGACGCCTACACATCCTCGATGGTGCCTGCGACGTGGCAGTGGCTCTGCAGCTTTCTGCTCTTTAAAACAGGGCCATGTGTTGGTCTTCACCAGAAGGAAAAAGCATGAACTTCTATCATTTATTATTAATCTGCAATTTTTATTGAAAGGTGTCAACTGGATGGCAAGTGTTCAAATGTACACTAGTTCTCACCAGTTAAGGGATCAGCAAAAAAAGCACACAGCCCAAGGTGACTGTGCCGAGTGAACTCAGCTATGGCAACGTGGGACAGACAGCTACTCTGAGTCTACAGGAGCAGGGCCAATGGCCCCAAACCAAACACAGCAAGCATGGGGACAAGCGTGGCAGAGCACAGAGGGCCAGATGTCCCTCGAGTTTCCCTTCAGTCACCCCACTCACTGCTGCCTGGTACTCAGCATCCCCGAGCAGGCCCAGGGAGCACACCGTCCACACCCGACTCCCATAGGCCCCAGCAGCCCCCAGGAGGTCACACATGTGCTACTATTGTGGTGAAACTGCACAAGGCTCGCTGCTGTGGATGGAGCTGTGGATTCCACTGGCCTTGAGGGCCCAGAGTCAGCGTCCCCAGTGGGGGGCCTTGAGGGCCCAGAGTCAGCGCCCCTGGTGCAGGGTGGAGGTGGGGGGGAGATTCCTGGCTCCTTGTGCAAAGCTGGTTGCCCCTCCCCGCTCACTCCCCCGCTGGCCTGACCACCCTGCTTTTCCCACCAGGCCCTGAGCTCTGCTAGGACAGACTCAAGCCTCATCCTCAGTGTCCACAGCTCTCAGCCAAGTGCTTCCTGTGAGGAAGAACGTGGATGCTTCCAATTGTGATGTCCTCAACCAACTAATCACAGCCAGGGAATGTTACCTGTGCCCTGTTGCCTTTTGGGACCTTGTGGGCTGTATCCACTTTCTCCAAAACACATCTAAACTTGACTGTATACGAACTGACCTCTAAGTCCTTAAATCAGAAATATTTGTAAATGAAAAGGCTTTAAACTGGTTACTATTGATGTGAAAGGGATCTACTTAGTACAATCCTCATTAACAACTGTTTTCCCAGGCAGCTATTAGCATCCTCTTCTAAGGAACAGAAACACCTCATGGGTCACTCTGGATGGGAAGCCTCTGACCAGCCTGCCGTCTGCAAAACGACAGTTGGCCGAGTGGGCAAGGGAGCACTGGGTGAGAGTCTGGGACTGAGCCTGTTTCAGGCCCTCGAGCTCTCCGACCTGGGTCTGAAGTGTCTGGTGCTGTGAGTTAAGATTCACATCTGGGTCTGAAGTGTCTGGTGCTGTGAATTCAGACTCACATCTTCTTGGAGCCTGTTTCAGGCCTTTGAGCTCTCCAACCTGGGTCTGAAGTGTCTGGTGCTGTGAGCTGAGAGTCTCTCCCATCTTCTTGGTTGTGGTTCTATAGGCGGAGCAAGCCCTGGTGATTCAGTGCTAGCACAGCACCTGCATGAAGGAGCGCTCATGGGCATCAGCTACTGTCCCTAAAGCAAGGAGTGGGGCTTTCATGGACAGATCTGCATGCCCCTGCTTCCCCATGTCCCTAGTCAGGTGTGGCTCTTTTTGGTAAATCAGAACCCAGTGTCATAGGATCCTCAGGGTATCATTTTTCTGGCCAGAAACCTCCATCACTGGTGGCGCCTTTACCCGAGTTTTGCTTGGGCCTGCTGGGCTCATTCTGCCCACACAGCCTGGCAGGCTGCGCTCGGCTCACACTTCCAGCCTGGATCCCATGCCTGCCAAGGGGGAGCCAGGTGTGGAGTGGCAAGGGGTGTGTGAGTGAGTGGGCGTGGGGTCCAGCCATTGTGTACAGCCAGGCAGGCGAGACGGGCAGACCTAGGCACTGGCATGGACACTGGCTCCCTGCAAGGCTGCAGCTGAACCAGGCATACCACACACAGCTTCCATGGCTGAAACCAGGGAATACGGTAGTGCCCAGAAGCTTGGAAACACCAGGAACCGCAGGGCCCCAAAGGGGGCGTCACTGCCCTGGCTCAGGGAGCTCCTAGGTCTGGGCTCCTTGAAGGGCTGCAGCTCTTCTCTCCTTCTCTCCTCCTCTCCTCATTGCCTGCAATGTGGCAAACAATGGGTGTGTTTCAGCCCTGTTTGTGTTACAGCTCTTTCAGACCTGCCATTCAGCAGGTCCTGAGTTCTTCTCCCATGTCCAGGAAGAATGAGGTGCGTGGACAAGTGGAAGGTGAGCAATGTGAAGAGGTGCTTCATTGAGTGACAGAACAGCTCAGAGAGACCCACAGTGGGCAGCTATTCTCCATAAGCAGGTCATCCTGTCTTCTGCCCAAGTCTGGCTGAGTCCGGGGGTTTTTATGGGCTTCAGAGGAAAGTGTGTGCTGATTGGTGCATGGGCAGTCACGGGTGAGCCCTGGAAAAGCACCGTAAGTTCTCACTCCGGTCTGTGGAACTGACAGCCTGGGCCCCAGGCCTTAAGTCCTCTGTAAGCTGAAGGTGGAGTTTCACCAGGGACCCTCCCCTTTCTTCCCAGGAGCTTGTCTGCCTCCGGCCACCATTATCCTGCCATCCACAGTGTGCATGGCATCCAGAGTGTTCCTGCCGAGGGGCGGCTGCAAGGCCTGCGCTGTGCTTCCCTCAGCCCCGCGTTGGCCTCCCTCTCATGCTTGTCAGCACCCAAAGTCTGGGGGTGCCGAGGCAGCAGGGTGCTGGCATGTCAGCACTGCCCTGAGCAAACACACACCCAGCCAGGTTGTGACAGTGTCCCAGCTCGGCCACAACTTTGATCTGAAACTGGAGCAGGTGCTGGGAGTGGGGACAGACCAAGCAGTGGGAGCAGGCACTTCTCAGCCTGTCGGGGCAGGGGGGCTTCCTGGGCCCTGGTGAGTGCAGGGATGCCTGGGTCCACAGCTTCTAATGGACGGCTGCAGCTGTGCCCAGGATGGCAGGGCTCCTGCCCCTCCAACTTGGAAGGGGGTGGGGCTTCCACCTGTTCCCGGTTCCCACCAACTTGCGGAGCACAGAGCCCTAGCCTCCCCCGCTGCAGCTGACACCACGGCAGCAGCAACTCCAGACAGGCTGCAGCTGCCATCACCAGCCTCATCCACACTACAAAAACTGATATTGACTAAAACACTAGATGGTACTGACTACAGCAAGCAAATGCAGGCCAAT